>NT_187665.1:0-174061 GCF_000001405.40 Homo sapiens
AGTGAGTCACCATCCCCTTCATTGTGTCACCGTCCCCCTCAGTGTGTCACCATCCCCCTCAGTGAGTCACCATCCCCCTCAGTGTGTCACCGTCGCCCTCAGTGAGTCACCATCCCCCTCAGTGTGTCACCTTCCCCCTCAGTGAGTCACCATCCCCCTCAGTGTGTCACCATCCCCCTCAGTGAGTCACCATCCCCCTCAGTGTGTCACCATCGCCCTCAGTGAGTCACCATCCCCCTCAGTGTGTCACCTTCCCCCTCAGTGAGTCACCATCCCCCTCAGTGTGTCACCATCCCCTTCATTGTGTCACCACCCCCCTCAGTGAGTCACATCCCCCTCAGTGTGTCACCATCCCCCTCGGTGTGTCACATCCCCCTCAGTGTGTCACCATCCCCTTCATTGTGTCACCATCCCCCTCAGTGAGTCACATCCCCCTCAGTGTGTCACCATCCCCCTCGGTGTGTCACATCCCCCTCAGTGTGTGACCATCCCCTTCATTGTGCCACCATCCCCCTCAGTGAGTAACCATCCCCCATTGTGTCACCATCCCCCTCAGTGTGTCACCATCCCCCTCAGTGAGTCACTATCCCCCTCAGTGAGCCACTATCCCCCTCAGTGAGCCACCATCCCCTTCAGTGTGTCACCACCCCCCTCGGTGTGTCACATCCCCCTCAGTGTGTCACCATCCCCCTCATTGTGTCACCATCCCCCTCAGTGAGTCACCATCGCTCTCAGTGTGTCACCGTCCCCCTCAGTGTGTCACTGTCCCCCTCAGTGTGTCACCATCCCCCTCAGTGAGTTGCCATCCCCCTCAGTGTGTCGCCATCCCCCTCAGTGTGTCGCCATCCCCCTCAGTGAGTCGCCCTACGGTCATGCGTCATTCCACAGTCACGGAGTCATCCCACCATCACATGACTCAGCGAGCCGGGGATGTGGGAGATTCTGGGCTCCAGGCCAGCACTGAGTGGCTGCTGAGACCAAGGTTGGGACTTGGTTTTGCTTTATTACCCTTCCTTGCCTTTCCTTCCCAACCTCGCTTTGCCTGTCCCACCACCGACGTCTGCCCAAGTTCAGGAAGCTCCTGCTGGGGTAGAGTGAGTAGAGTCAGAGTCACCTTCACATGAGTCATCCCATCACTAGTGTCAGCATCACTGTCACATGTGTCAGCATTACCACCTCGTCCACCCGTGTCTGCTTTGGAGACTCTAGAAATACAAAGGTGCAGCTAACCCGGCCCTCTCACTCCAAGGACCACAAGCTTGATTGGGAAAACACCTGGTGTCCCTGAAGGCAGATGGCAGCCAAGACCAGGGACACTGGGGAAGCCTGGGGATGGAGCAGAGAACCTGGAGAAGGCAGAGACTGGGCTCAGGCAGCTGGAGACGGCTTCCTGGAGGTTGCCACAGCAAAGCGCTGCCGTCGTGTGGTGACGGCCAGAGGCCCCAAATCTGGTGTGAGCAGGGCCACGTCCCTCCAGGGGCTCTGTGGGAGAACCCCTCCACCTCTTCCAGCTTCTGGAGGCTCCACAGTTGCTGGGTTCTGTGACTTGGGTGGCCTCACTGCCCCATCTTGTCCCCATGGCCACGCAGTTTCTCTGTGGGGTGTCTTGTGGCTTCATGTGGCCACCTTCCTCTAAGACAGCAGTGTGTGGATCGGGGCCTACCCAACTCTGGCATCACCGCATTTAATCAAGTCCTTCTGCGAAGGCCCAGTTTACAGATAAGGCCACACTCTGAGATTCTGTGTGGGCGTGGATGTTGGGAGATGCCACCGAACCCACTACTGTAGGGCAGTTTACGGGGAATTTAGTCCTGGCCCAGGCTAGCCAGGAGCTGAGGGCCACACCAGGCCTCACAGGGTCCTCCCTACAGCCTCCTGCCTGTAGTTGCATTGGTGGATCCTGGTCAGAGGGCATCGGGGACAGGCCATGTGGAGGCCACCCAGGAGCCAGCCATGGTAGAAGTTTCCAGAACCACAGACCACAGGCATGGGACAGCCGGGTCTCCTATGGAGCAGTCAGCATTTCTTGTGGGGAGCCTTGCCTCAGAGGGCTCACATACGCCGTACCTGCTTCATGGGGCACCTTCGGACACTAAACATGTGTCTTTTCTCTGCGTATACTACGTGTATGGCATAAAATTAGCAAATGGCTTTTGATCATTTTCTAACTTCATCTGAACCTTGGCCCCAAGCACTGGAGGCTGAGCCGCAAGCGTGAGGAGGCAGCCATTTCCCTGGGACTGCAGAGCCCAGGCGGGCGCCCGGCTGGGGCAGCGGCTCCCCTCTTCCAGGAGACACTTCCAGAGCTCAGAGCAGGACTGGGACTGCAGAGCCCAGGTGGGCGCCCGGCTGGGGCACCGGCTCCCCTCTTCCAGGAGACACTTCCAGAGCTCAGAGAAGGACACAGGTTTCTCGTTCACACGGGCTCTGTGTAAAACATGAAAGCTGCATTTTCCTTTTAAATCAATACAATGAAATCCCCTCACCCTTTCTCTCCAAGCTGTTTTCACAGTGAGAGCAAGCGTGCCAGGTCACCCAGAGAGGAACCAGCTTGAGAACCACTTTGCTTTTATCTTTTCTCTCCTAGCAATGCCCACATTTCCATTTCATATGGGGAAAAGCCATTTTCCTGCTAGAAGTCAGCAAATTGCCTTGGCAAACAAGAGCAGCCACCTCTTCTCCGAGGCCCAGCGTGGGACTTGCATCCAGATTGTGGATGCAACAGGACCGGGGAGTCCTCCCACAGCGGCTGGGGCGGAGCCGACTTCCAGGCTGTATCTGGCCCTTCAGGGGCTCAGCCGGGCCAGGCCACAGGCCACGTGAGCGGCGTCCCTGGCTTCATCTTCCCATCTTGGCAAACCTGAGCCTGGATCTGTCATTTGAACTGTGTTATCACAGTCCATTAACAGACAATGTTCCATCAGAAACAGGATGGAAATATGCTTTTAAGTAATGACGTTCTCATGCGCGCAGGACGCATTTGCACTGCTGGTCGGTGGGCGCCATGGAGATTTCTCTTAAAATAGGAGGAGAGGATAGAAAATACCCTTTGCGTGTCCCGTGTCCTCTTGATACTCGTCCAACACATTTCTCTCATGTTTTTTATTGTTCTTTCTTCAAAGACAGTGCAGTTTAATAGGAAGACTTTACAATTACTGAATTTATGATATTGTTTATAAAAGGGAATTTGAAAGAACTGATGTATACCAATAAAAATGGCATATTAGTAATTTTTTTAATTCTCAAAGAAGAAATAATAGCAAAATAATGTCCCTGTTTGGGAGGGGAGGAGGAGAAGAGAAAGCAAAGTTAAAATCAAGAAAATTAAAATTCTAAAACAACCAAATGCACAAAAATGTGCTTTTCCCCTTTTAGAGAGGTGATGTGATAGGGTTTCTGTCTATGAAACCAAATGTTTACAAATATTCAAGCCCATAAATTTGAAGAGAAACCGAATACAGAAAATTCTTGTTAATGCAGTACATTTTCTGGTAATTTTATAGTCCAATTTTCAGTGATTCCCCACAGAACGAATGCAGTTCAAAGGCAATTTTATAAAGTACTTTGCAGATAACTATTATCTGCTAATTATTAGAAATTGCATGTTGTTGTTAATTGCATAAATAAATTGTTTTATCTGAAAGCCATTAAAAAAAGGTTTGGTGTTTGAAGCATATATAGTTTTGATGTTCCTGTATAAAAACGTTTAACTGTTTAACTCTAAAATAATGACATGCTGCTTTTAAGACAATTTCTTAGACTAATGGATTATGGAGGGGGGGGGGTCCCTAAACATGTATTTTATTTAATTTCCCTGACATACTTCAACTGATCGTCATGGAAAGGAAGAGTGCAAATATTTTACTAAATGTATTAGAATGATAGCCGTATATGGCTACTTTTTTAATCCTTAAAGGAAATTTATATGAACATTTTCTTTCTTCCAAAATACTCTTCATTAAAAAAAAAATGCTGCTCTGTTTTATCATATATTTCCCTCATAATTAGCCATAAGAGAGAGAAATCTGTGGGGACTGCTGCCTTTCATTTTCTATGAAATAATTCAGAAAAGAGTTTAATAGCAGATTCTAATAGAATTTGAAAACAAGGTGTGTGGATCATTTCTGCAGCTTCCTGAATGAATGTGCTTTGGAGAGGAGCCGACCGCATCCTTTCCAGGGCCCAGTGCCAGGACCCTGGACGGCGTCACCCTAGGACGTCACCCCAGGACAGCAAATTCAGCCTCGGTGCTTTCATGGGAAGGCGTGGGCAGTGCCATCCCCAGTGACTCGCAGGTGGAGAAGCAGGGCTGAGGTTGTTGGGATCCTGACGGATGGCCGGCTAGGGCCTCGGGAGGCGACATCCTGGCCCTCACCCTGCCTGCTCAGTGCTGAGGAAGGAGGTCCACATAGAGCTCAGGAGGGCTGGAAGCGGCCAGCACACACCTGCCCAGGTGCACAGCAGATGCAGGGTGGGCTGCTAGGGTAGTAGCAGGTCAAGCAGGGCAGCCGAGCCCAACAGGGTCCACAGATGCCCATGGAGGAAGTGGCCTCGTTCATGTGCTGAGAATGTCTCTAAGCCTGGTGGGGCAGACAGCCCACATATGCTGGGCTACACGCAGGGCTCAGGGGAGGCGAGGGAGAAACAGTGGCTCCTGAGGACCAGGGGCATGGTTTTGGAGCCTGGCTACTGGGGAGGGAACAACTCTGGGCACTCAGCATAAGGGACATGCCATGCGTGGAGGGGATGACGGCACCATTGGAGTGCATGGGCGTCCCTGTGTTCCAGCCACGCAGTGAAATGGTGAGGACGGAGGGGGACAAAAAGGGCGCAGAGCCCAGCCCCTCTCGGAACAGAGGTTGCTGCACCCAGCTCCTCTTGGGACGTGGGATAGCCATGCCCAGCTCTGCAGCCCATGCTCTTGTGGACAGGACAGGTGCCAGTGTGGTACTGCGTGTGGCCTCACAGAGCGAGTCTGTGAATGAACGAGTGACAAAACCTGGAATCTCAAAACGCGAAGCAAGTACGGAGCTCGCTGCCGCTCCACAAGGATGAGAACATTCCAAGGACTGAAAAAGCCTTTTTGCCGCAGTTTTGTCTGGCTACATCCCCGTGAATTTGCCAGGGCTTCGAAACAACTGACCTCAGACCAGGCGACCTGCACAGCACACATTTATTTTCTCACAGTTCCGAGGCTGGAAGTCCAAGACCGAGGGTGTTGACCGGTGGTCTCTCTCCTGCATCGTCAGGACATGGCCGTAGCACCTGGCCAGACAAGTCTCTACATGGGGAGCATCACCCCACACCCCAGCAGTGCCGAGACGGTGCCAACCACCAAATAGTGAAACACAAAGCCCATCCAATGTCAGGTCAAGAGAGCCACAGACAGGGTGCAGGATCTCATGGCCCAGGCCAGTGCAAAGTCAGAGAGCCTCAGACAGGGTGCAGGATCTCATGGCCCAGGGCAGTGCAAAGTCAGAGAGCCTCAGACAGGGTGCAGGATCTCATGGCCCAGGGCAGTGCAAAGTCAGAGAGCCGCAGACAGGGTGCAGGATCTCATGGCCCAGGCCAGTGCAAAGTCAACACGTGGCTCTCCCATCTGCCCCAGACCCACTCTTTCCCTTACAGCAAGTGCCTCCAGACCTATGCAGCACCAGGGTGCACAGAGGGCCAGGACAGATGCCTGTCCCTCAGAGCAGACAGAGAAGTCCCTCCTTGTCCCTCAGAGCAGGCAGAGAAGCTGCTGACCAGGCTTCTCCCATACCCCTGCAGAGTCCCCCACAGAGGACACCATGCACACCTCACCTTCTGGTCTCCAAAACGTGGCTTTCCTGGAGGCTGGCAAACCCCCTAGTCAGTGCCACATTTCCCTCTTGGAACAAGAGATAATATGTAGTTTTCGATCTAATTTTAGACCTTGGCTGAATTAGCTGACACTCAAAGAGGCCGGGGCCCAGAGACATAATGTGTGTGCGAATTCATATTTTAAGAGTCCATTTGCTTATTATCTATCTCGTTCTATAATTCAATATTTTCAAAGGATTGCCAGCAAGGAGCCCTGGGCTCTCTCCCACTGAGATTATGCTTGTGGCACAGTGGGAACAGGCACGGTGCACCCGGCCCTGCTGCCCATCACTGCCTCCCATCTTTCATTCTTCCCTCCGTCCTCCGTCTGCACCACTCCTTGTCTCCCCTCATGCTGAAGGTCTTACCTCTGTTTCCTTGTATTCATACCTGGGTCTCAGGTGTCCGCGAGTTGTTCGGTCCCTTCGTGGATCTACAGCTCGGGCAGATGCCCCCAGGACTGCAGCCTCGGCACCCGTGGAGTCTCTGTCTCTGTGGAGGGGCAGCCGATGACTCCCAGCCCAGCGTTCAAAGTCACCCTCTGTGAAGACAGGGCCCCACCTGAGCATGGCGCTGTCACTGCAGGACGGCCCAGATCCCATCCGAGACAGAAGGAACCTGTGTCAGGATCACCCTGGTAAAACGCCTCTGGGGTACACCACACAGCAAAGGTCACCTCGTGAAATTTTGAGGTCAGTTTCCCAGGGCAGGTGCTGACCTTTCTCGTTCTCTGAGCGAGGGCCCCTCAGCGCTTCTTCCTTCTGGGTGACCTTCGGAATGCCGTGGGAGTGCTGTAGAGTCACGATGTTGAACTCACAAATACTCTGGTGGATTTTCCACTACACTAACGGTTTCATGGCTATGAGCACTGGTCACACAGTGCTTTAGGCTGACGAAAACTCTCACACCACCCAAGAGCAGCCTTGCTACTGCCCGGCTGCCACCTCCACCCCACGGTGCATGCAGAAGCTCGTCCACTCCAGGCAGAGTGTACCCTGGCCTCCAGGACAAACCAGTTATTTACTCAGGCCCTGCTTGGAGGGACGGGGTCTGGAGGGTCAGCTCGGGGTGAGCACAGGCCAGTCGTGTGGGGCCTCTACCAGCCACAGGCACAGAGACCCCTCCCTACCTCACCTGCTGAGAAAGGCCATCCCCTAGGGAGGAGCAGTAACAAGCGGAAAGGAAGGAGGCTGCTCCCTTTTCCTGCACCCCAGGGACAACTGGGCAGGGAAGAAGGATCCCAACCTTGCACAAAACCGCAGAGGCTCAGAGAGGAGCCCCTGGCCAGGGTCTGGACTCAAACTCAGGTCTCCCAGCCCTTAATATCTCTGTTCGGTCAGCCACAGCCTGTGGCGCCTGCCAGGCCCTAACGGAACCGACTCCCATTCCCCGGTTCCTACAGGGCAGCTGATTTCCACCAGCGTCCTCTCATTCCAGGCATTGGCCAAGCCTAAAGTTTCTGTTTTATAAGATCTGTTGAGATCACATCTCAAGGGGTATGGTTGAACGTGTCAGTCAAATTGATGAAAGAAAGGACAAATTCATTAATTAATTCACTTCTGAGCTGAGTTCCCGCATGCCAGCCTTAAACTCAGAGTGGGTTTTTATGGTTGAGTTATAAATCCCTCACAAGCGGGGCTTCTTATAGACAAGCTGTCAGGGCCGTAAATGCCAGGGCCTCGGTGGGTGCTGGGGGGTGACATAAAAAGGGCATTGACACACTGCCTCTTGGGCGAACTGCAGTTTTGCCCTTTGGCAGATATTCCAGATGATTACAGTTTTTATTACCAGCCTCTGCAACACTACCTCCAGCCACATCTGTCTCCACATCAGCTGGGTCACCACAATGCACGGCGGTGAGGTATGAGCCGATTCCGACTGGATGTAGGAATGTGCAAGTTTAATTCTTCATAACCCCAGATCTTGGGTGAAGAGAACGGCCCATTGTGAAGAAAGCGCGTTTTCTTGTCCACTACTCATGGCAAAAGCAGACAGGCCTCCTTCTAACCTCTATGCCAGCCAACCCTGGACCATCAGCCCGTGAGGCTGAGAGTGGCCCAGCCCTCAGGTCTCTCGGTGCCTTTGTTCAGCCATGCCTCATCCCGGCCACATCCCCACAGCCCCTGCTTCTTCACCTGCCAGGGTGAAAGTTTCCGGGAAGGTCTGCTGCCATGGCCTCCCCTTTATCAGACACTCACCCACCCCCAAGTGCCTCACCAGGGTGGGGCCCCCTTCCTAGGGAGCAGCAGGGGCGAAGTCCTGGGGTCCAGCCTGTGCTCCTCTAATGCAGAAAAGCAACCACAAAGGCAAAACATGCAGTCTCCAAATGTTACCTCTGCTGCCAGGTTTCAGCTTGTGTCCGCCAGGAAGCAGGTGTGACACCATGGATGTGACTGTGGCGTGCACACCACGGGCTCTCAATAGTAAAGGTGTCAACGTGGGCACGCGTTTTGACCAGAGAGAGGTGCAACGGACTTTCACCTTTCCGTGGAGCGAGAAAGACTGAAGATTTGAAGTAGAACGGCACCTGCCGCAGAGCCCCTTTGTAAAAAATCTCACTTTGCTCCACGTGATCCACCACCAGCAGCCCTGTGAGAGGCGAGGGTGACCCATGGACTAATGGCAGCTGAACTCCAACCCCTGGCTGGGCATCTCCTCTGGGCCCAGCCCAAGGCACTGGCAGGAGGCAGGAGGAGGCTCTGCAGCCTGGCCTTCTGTCCTGAGCACGGTTCCAAGGAGAGACTGCACACCCTGAAACCAGCCTCCACACAGACTGAGATAAACAGAAAGGCCACTTTACACATCACGCCTCAGGACGCCTCAGGCCACAAGCAGCATGCAATGGTGAGGTCCTGGAAAGAGCCCCACGGCAGACTGGCATCCCTTTGACGCAGAGCTGCTGCAGCTGCCTCTGAGTGTTTGCCTCAGGACGCTTCATCTTCTCATCCCTCGTCCTCAACATTAAAAACAGCTCACGCGTTCCAGCCACTGCGGGGCACGTTAGCATGAGAAGCAGGTGAGCCCCTCGCGTGCCCGTCTCATTAACCTCGATCCTTAGCGCTGGCCTGCTGTACCGGGACAGGGCATGGCCGTCTCGATCCTTAGCGCTGGCCCGCTGTACCGGGACAGGGCATGGCCGTCTCGATCCTTAGCGCTGGCCCGCTGTACCGGGACAGGGCATGGCCGTCTCGATCCTTAGCGCTGGCCCGCTGTACCGGGACAGGGCATGGCCGTCTCGATCCTTAGCGCTGGCCCGCTGTACCGGGACAGGGCATGGCCGTCTCGATCCTTAGCGCTGGCCCGCTGTACCGGGACAGGGCATGGCCGTCTCGATCCTTAGCGCTGGCCCGCTGTACCGGGACAGGGCATGGCCGTCTCGATCCTTAGCGCTGGCCCGCTGTACCGGGACAGGGCATGGCCGTCTCGATCCTTAGCGCTGGCCCGCTGTACCGGGACAGGGCATGGCCGTCTCGATCCTTAGCGCTGGCCCGCTGTACCGGGACAGGGCATGGCCGTCTCGATCCTTAGCGCTGGCCTGCTGTACCGGGACAGGGCATGGCCGTCTCGATCCTTAGCGCTGGCCTGCTGTACCGGGACAGGGCATGGCCGTCTCGATCCTTAGCGCTGGCCTGCTGTACCGGGACAGGGCATGGCCGTCTCGATCCTTAGCGCTGGCCTGCTGTACCGGGACAGGGCATGGCCGTCTCGATCCTTAGCGCTGGCCTGCTGTACCGGGACAGGGCATGGCCGTCTCGCCCACCTCTTGTGACTCTGCTGACACCGCTGCGCCCTGCACCACCTCCAGGCCACATTCACTGCTCATCCAAAGCTTGAATTTCCCATTGACTTAAAACTTCCATTAAAGCCCCAGATGAGGGTAAACGAGGCTCCATGTGCTCTGCCTAATGGGAACGTTCTGGCTGGCACCGACTGCGATAGTTTCGGGCAATCTGCCGCTGCCTCTGTGGGAGCCGAATGAGCACTTCACAGTACTTAGGTAGACTCCTTCCCCGCATGCAGCAGCTGCTCCGGCTGAGCCCTCACCTCCTGGTTCCTTCTCCCTCCCACATACAGGGCTCGGATGGGGTGCTGGGGTCCTGTTCCCACCTCCGTGGTGCAGCCCCACTGCCCTCAGAGCTGTTCTTTACCCGCTTCCTCCAGAAAAAGAAATGGTGACGCAGAGGGTCTCCCCGCCTCCTGCTGGCTCCCAGCGAACACAGGCTGGCTCAGGGCACTGTGCAGGGGGCCTGCTTGGCCACGAGAAGCACGCAATGGTGAGGTCCTGGAAAGAACCCCACGGCAGATCCGGCTTCCCTTTGACACAGAGCTGCTGCAGCTGCCTCTGAGTGTTTGCCTCGTCTGCAGTAAAACATAGCCGAGGGTACACTGGGGACAGGCAGGAGACCTGATGGGCCATGCCCCAGCGCTGCTGCCCATGGTGTCTCTGAGATGAGACAGGAACGTCCCCAGGGGAGTGGGAGCCAGGGGCTCCCAGGGTCTGACCCTCTCCAAGCCCCAGGCTCCTCAGGGCTGCACTGTGTGTGCTGCCCACGTGCACCGAACCCTCTGGCCCTGGCCCTGGCCCGGTTTGCACCTTCCCCTTGGCTCTGACACCTTCCTCCCTTCACAGCCCACACACAGATGAGTGCTGCTTGTCCTGCAAGGCTTCCCAAGAAGTTTCAGTGGACACCCTTCCAGTAGGAATGGCCCATCCCCTCTATGTTTCCCAGAGTGTCCTGCAGCAAACATCAATGTGACTCGTGCACACGGCATTGGGGCTGCCTGGTGAGACGCCGTGCTCCTGGTGGACTGACGGCAGGAACGAGGATCATTCACCTTCGTGAGACAGAACGGCGCAGCTCCCAGAGGAGAGCAGAGCTTGGGGACTGCGTGAGGACTCCCTGAACTAAGCTCCCCAGTGGGCCCCTTCACCTGTGCGGCACGCAGCGTCTTCACTGTCCACGGGGAGACTCAGGGTCTGAGATTAGACTCCTTTTGAGGTCTACAGCTGCTGGAGTCAGAGCTGCCCCTGCGCCCTCTGCTGCCTAACTCAACCCTGAGGATGCCAGCCCGACAGAGCACGGTGTCGGCCAGGAGGAGGATGGACCTGAGGATGCCAGCCCGACAGAGCACGATGTCGGCCAGGAGGAGGATGGACCTGAGGATGCCAGCCCGACAGAGCACGGTGTCGACCAGCAGGAGGATGGACCTGAGGATGCCAGCCCGACAGAGCACGGTGTCGACCAGCAGGAGGATGGACCTGAGGATGCCAGGCCGACAGAGCACGGTGTCGACCAGGAGGAGGATGGACCTGAGGATGCCAGCCTGACAGAGCACGGTGTCGACCAGCAGGAGGATGGACCTGAGGATGCCAGCCCGACAGAGCACGGTATCGACCAGGAGGAGGATGGACCTGAGGATGCCAGCCCGACAGAGCACGGTGTCGACCAGGAGGAGGATGGACCTGAGGATGCCAGCCCGACAGAGCACGGTGTCGACCAGGAGGAGGATGGACCTGAGGATGCCAGCCCGACAGAGCACGGTGTCGACCAGGAGGATGGACCTGAGGATGCCAGCCCGACAGAGCACGGTGTCGACCAGCAGGAGGATGGACCTGAGGATGCCAGCCCGACAGAGCACGGTGTCGACCAGCAGGAGGATGGACCTGAGGATGCCAGCCCGACAGAGCACGGTGTCGACCAGGAGGAGGATGGACCTGAGGATGCCAGCCCGACAGAGCACGGTGTCGACCAGGAGGATGGACCTGAGGATGCCAGGCCGACAGAGCACGGTGTCGACCAGGAGGATGGACCTGAGGATGCCAGGCCAACAGAGCACGGTGTCGACCAGGAGGATGGACCTGAGGATGCCAGCCGCACAGAGCACGGTGTTGGCCACAGAGCAGGACGGGCCTGCGCTGCTTTCCTGTCATCACGCAGGGATAATCTTTACCTCTCATTTAAAAAGGCCAATAGTGCCCATGTCACAGGGATTATCAGCAGCCGCTCTGACAGGTGGATAACGTGTGCTCGGGCAGAAGAGATTGAAACCCAGCAGGGCGGGGAGGCAGGGAGGCTGGAAGCCAGTGAAGTTCACTCCAGCACGGCGTCCGGCAGCTGAAGAGGCCCTGCGTCCACACAGGCACTGCGGAAACTCACCTTGTCCTGAGATGAGGGAAGGCCAGGGAGAGGTGCGTACCAAGCTTGTCACAGGGCACTGAGGACAGAGCTGCCACTAGCTCCTGGCAGGAGGCTTTGATGTGGAAACCGGCAGCCATGCAGTGGGCGCAGAGGAGGTGGCCTTTCTGCCCTTCCTCCCTCCTGGCCCCCAAGGGTCACCTGGGGAAAGCCCTCTACAGTGTGAACACGGCTGTGAATGGCTAATTTGCTGCAGTGGCGGGGGTGGTCTCTGTCCTGTTCCCCCCACCCCCTCATTCTCCCCACCCGGAGCAGCCCTCCCTCCCTGCCACCCCCGACCTGAATCAGGGCCACCGCCAGAGCCTTTGCCACTCCACATAAATGTGCCATCAGCAGGCCAGGGTGGTTTCATTTTGTTTTTAGTGCTGAGGATTTGTGTGTGTGTTCTTTTTCCTTTTAGTTTCTTTATTTTCCCAAATGAAATGTGATCCAAATCAAAACAAATTCCCAGCATCTGCTGGAGAGACTTTCCTCCTCTCTGTTTCCCCAAGTGCTGAATGGAGAACACTGCTCCATCTCGCTGTTATTAAGACGCACGGAGGCCTCACCGCCAACAGTCCATGCGTGTTTCTTGGCAGCCCTGGCCGGGTAGTGGTGACGGTGCTCTGAATAGGGGGCACCCACTGCCCCTCGCTGCTGCCCCCATGACCCGCTGTGCAGTGGCTTTTCCGGGGAAGGGCACCCCATTGGCAGAGAAGAGTGTGCGGGTGGCAGGGAGGGAGGCGAGCCAGGGCCCGGGCCCGAGCTCCGTGTGCCGCGGCCCTGTCAAAGCGGCCTCCTCGCGCCTCAGCCCTCTAGCGCCAGCGTTTTGTCACATCTCCGGTTTCCTTTCTTTGCTTCAGCTTCCATGCGACCCCCTAGCTGCGGACACTCCACACGCTGAGAGTCAGCTGAGCTTGAACAAAGAGACCTTTCTCCTCTGCAGAAATCGCTCGAGCCGCCAGCGCCAGAATTCACAGCAGCTTTCTCTTGAAATGCTTGGCATTTCCCCACAATTTCTTAGGTATACTTGGTGGGCGAAGTGCGTCATCTCTGTTTGAATTTATCGCACAGAATAAGCCATTTTCTCCATTTAATGTTATCCCCTCGGTAACCAGGAGGTCGGAGGCCACAACGCAAAAACAGCAAATTTGTCAACGGAATGTGCAAAGCCGGGCATAAATTTATCTTGTCCTAATCCCCGGCCCCCTTTCATGCGGTGATTTTTCATATGCATATGAGAATTTTCCGAGTTTGCTTTCTCACACATTTCGCCGTCCGCAGACGGGCGGTGGCTCTGTGGGCCCCTAGGAAGCAACGTGGCTTTCCCCTTCCTCTGTAAAGCCCAAGGCGGCCACCTCCGCTTTTCTGATCATCTGTCATTGAAAACCCCCCAAGCATCGCTTCCTATGATTATTTTCACACACAGGGAGCATAATTGCATGTTCTGAAAAAAAATTCTCACTAAAGAAGCCCGTGATTCTCAGACATCCTAAGGCATCGCAAAGCCAACCCTGTGCCATGCTGTAGCCACGTACAAACTTTACAATCCCGTGTCACTCACATTTAAAAATAACCAGCAACTTCATAGCAGAAAGAAAGGGTCATGGTCACCACAGTGAGACTGAGACACACATCTCCTCTAACTTTACACCACTCGGGATAACTATGTGCATCCTCACCAGAGAATATCTACCTCGTGCTGTTTCCTTCAGCCTCCATTATACGGTGGAAGAGTCGCATGACAAGCTAGAGGATCAGTCCTAAAGGAGTCCGTGTCAGTGTGTGACTATTTTCACAAAACAAGTAGTTTTGTCTTGAAGTCCACTCTCTTGACACCACCAATATTGTGTGCTTTGGATGGCAACAGTGTACCCGGCCGGCCAAGGAGAGCCTGGGCGCTGGTGGCGTTGGCTGCAGACCAGTCTCCGGCCCAGGACCTGCCGTAAGACCTGGGGGCCAGTGGTCTGCGCCCTGCAGGCCTGAGAGGAGGGAAGCTGTCTGATTGCCAGGTATTTACACAGCAACACTGAAGGAAATGTACCACGGCCCCTGGCTTTCTCAGACGTCAACTCCTCAGGCTTAATGATAAAATTCATCCCCGAAGCATATTTTCTTTGGTTCAAGACTATCTCCCCACACTGGGAATTTCCCCTGCAGTTTGCTCCTGGGTGGACAGTTCCACAGGTCAGTGATTCATCTCTCCTCAGTCAGGCTTACACGTGAGTTTGTTGCTTCTCAGTGAACTCCTAGACTGGAATTCCAAGCACACTGGAGAGAAGGATGCGCTTTTCCTCGAGAGTAAATGTTCATCTCTTGCCCCAGAAGGAAATCCTGTGCCACAAAAGAGAAGCAGAGCCACCTTCCACAGCAGTGAGCTGTGAGGAATGGAGATGGTACTCAACGTTTTAGACAAACCCTGTAAATTCCTGCTCAGGTTTTTAGTGTGATTCAAATCAATTTGGCAAAATAGTTACTGCATCTAAAATACACCAGGGTGATGCTAGACCGCTGAGCTAGAATGATGAAAAGCAGATATGGGTCCTGAATTCAGAGAATTTCCACAAAGGAGATTGTGGAACATAATCTCCTAGAGACATAGAAGTGTCTAGACATCTGTGAACCATTTAAGCTGTCCTGAAGGCAGAGGACTGGTGTGTCTCAGAGCAGCAGCATCCGCATGCGAGCACCGCCCACACGAGAGCACCGTCCACACATGAGCACCGCCCACACATGAGCACCATTCACACGTGAGCACCATTCACACATGACCACCACCCACACATGAGCACCACCCACACATGAGCACCACCCACACATGAGCACCATCCACACGTGAGCACATCCACACATGAGCACCGTCCACATGAGAGCACCGTCCACACATGAGCACCACCTGCACATGAGCACTGTCCACACGAGAGCACCGTCCACACATGAGCACCATCCACACATGAGCACTGCCCACTTGAGAGCACCGTCCACACATGAGCACCATCCACACATGAGCACCACCTGCACATGAGCACCGTCCACACATGAGCACCGTCCACACATGAGCACCACCCACACATGAGCACTGTTCACACATGAGCACTGTTCACACATGAGCACCGCCCACACGAGAGCACCGTCCACACATGAGCACCACCCACACATGAGCACCACCCACACATGAGCACCGTTCACACATGAGCACCACCCACACATGAGCACCGCCCACACGAGAGCACCGTCCACACATGAGCACCATCCACACATGAGCACCACCTGCACATGAGCACTGTCCACACAAGAGCACCATCCACACAAGAGCACCGTCCACATGTGGGCGCCGACCACAGGTTAGCACATCCACACGTGAGAACAACCACATCACACGGTTAAGGTGGGCGCTGCACATCAGAATTCCAAGGTCAGCTTCTCCACTCACTATGTCATGTGGCTGCAGTCCGTTACCGCCCCATGGCCCAGGTGACAGTCCTATAAGACCATGTAAAACACCACCTGTCTCAAAGAGCAGTTTGAAGAATTCAAGGATTCAGAATATTTCCACTGAGCACACAGCCGACCCTATAGGACTGCTGCGTTATTAACATCATCGTTATAGCTTTGGTGCCTACAACGATCTCTGGTACATATTAATTTATATTTATATATGCATTTGTTGAATTGAATATAGTAATGGATATGATTATTGTGGTGGTGTCCCTCGGAGGTTTGCCCCAGAGGCCATACTGGGTTGCTGGAAACTGTCATTAACTGTAGTGAGTTGTAACTCTGTATCCTTATCTGTGAATTGAGAAAATTAATTGCTGTTACGTAACATAAAATGAATTGTTGCTGTACAATATAAAACGCCCACCAGCAAGACAGAGGAGTCATTACTCTGGAAGAGTAAATGAAGAAATCTCAACATTACAACATGACAATTAGATTCCATGTCAATAAGCAAAAAGGAGAACATAGCATGTGTTTTATTCACAGCTGTCAATTATGTCCTACAAAGACAGGCAGCAAAATATTATAACATTTTCATTTAATAATAAAGCACTTACTGAGTACTTACCAAAATGCCAACTACTGTAATGCACAATCTTTGCTTGAAAAAAATGAAGCTCCGTTTTTTTTTTTTTTTTTTTTTTTTTTTTGGACAGAGTCTCACTCTGTCACCCAGGCTGGAGTGCAGTGGCACCATCTTGGCTCACTGCAACCTTCACCTCCTGGGTTGAAGCTAATCTCCTGCTTCAGCCTGCTGAGTAGCTGGGATTATAGGCGCTAGTCACCACGCCCAGCTAATTTTTGTATTTTCAGTAGACATGGGGTTTCGCCATGTTGGCTAGGCTGGTCACAAACTCCTGACCTCAAATCATCCAAAGTGCCTCGGCCTCCCAAAGTGCTGGGATTACAGACATGAGCCACCGTGCCCAGCTGAAGCTCAACTTCTAGTCAGGGCATAGCTCTATAGACAAATCATTAAGATAAATATAAGGTGATGTTCATGCTGTGGGTGACAGATAATGTTCGTTATGTCTAGCCGTGAAGGATTATTTCATACGTGAAGAGACGATTCAATTGGGTTTGAGAAGACTGAAGTCTGTCAAGCAGGGAAGGAGATAAAGTCAGAGAGAAGAGTCTAAACAGAGGCAGGAAAATGTGGAGGCATGTTCTGGAATGACATGGTCCCTGTCAGGGAAGTTCAGGCAGGGAAGAGGGTGTTTAAAGGGTGTCTGGGAAAAGTGAGTGGAAAATAAGGCTGGAAGGGGAAACTGGCCAGAGAATGGAAAGTTGGGAATGTCATTGCGTGGGCGAATGTGTGCTGGTGGTAACAGAAAGTCGTCTGTAGCTTTGGAACAATGGTGCGACGTGTCCACACGTCTTTAAAAAGCAAACACTTAAAGGCAAAGGGAGGAAGGAATAGCAGCTGAGGAGGGAAGCTCAGAAAGGAAATCCAAGTTGAAATATCCATGCGGTAGTAGCATGAGAAGGATTCTAAGGAAGTGGAGTGAGGACGGGGATGCGGAGCCAAAGGTTAGAAACTTCTTAGAGGGAGGGCGACCTTGGGAGACAGACTGGGTTTGAAGTCCGGGTCTGACACTTACTGCCTATGGAACAAAGACAAGTCACAAATCTCCATTTCTTCTATAAAATAGACACAGTGTTGAGTATTGTTTAGGGACCCTGTCATGACTAGACAGGGCATAAGATGTTCAGGCATCGCTGAGTATTGTATAGGGACCCTGTTTTGACTAAACGAGGTGTGGTGTCCAGGCATTTCTGGCTTGCACAGAAGTGGGAGAAGCCCAGAACTGTGAAACTCCAGGGAGCAGGAGTCCCTCACAGGCATGCGGGGAGTCGCCTGAAACCCAGATGGAGAGGTCACTAAGATCCAGGTCTGTTTCCTGTGCTTTTCTGTCCCTGGGGTCTAGTCGATGTCCTGAACCCTGTCATCTGCTCCACAGCAACATATAAATGAGTTACGGTAACCAGATATTAGATGCTGAGAAGCAGCAGCCGTGTGTGGGGATTATGATGGGAAAGGAGGGGAAAGCTGGAACTGAGGTGCGTTAAGGACAAGTTTGCAAGCATTTGGTAGTGGTTGAAACGTGTCTCTAAGCCAGGGACTGGGAAGTTGCAGATCCCAGGCAGGGAAGGTGGTAGGGAACCGAGACCACAGGAGAATCACTCATCATTTGCAGATGAAAGGGTTGCTTACTTAGGAAACACACACACACACACACACACACACACACACACACACACACACACACAACATCACCTAACAATGTTATAAATTGTGAAATAATTCAGTAAGGTAAAAAGTACAACATTAACATCAGTACAGTTCCATAAATAATCAACTACCGGATGAATACAATGAGGGAAAAGTTAACATGATACAACAGGACAGGCGTGAAGATATCTTTAGAACTTGGCTGAATGCTTCAAGTGGAAATTTTTCTGCATTAAAAGTTAAAAACTTTAAAAAATTAAAACACTCTGAGGGGCTCCCATGATGGCTGACTAGAGGCATCTTCAACTTGCCTTCTCCACAAAGAACAAAAGTCGTCATTAGACAATCACACTTCAAGTAGATCATACGAACGAGAACACATGAGCTGAACAGAGAAGGGACAGGAAGCCTCTCCAGCAGGGAAGGAGAGGAGGGCAAGGCAGCCTTCCCGGCCAGGATGGGCTGGGAGCCCAGAGAGATGTCCCAATGTGGGGAAGGGGTGAGGGAGAAACCCCCAGGGTTCACATCCCCACTGTGAGCTCCTGCATCGTTGGCCATGGGAGAGCCCCTCGACCATCGCTAGAGGGGAACCTGACACAGGGAGCTTCCTGGAGACAGTCGCAGTGCTGCTCCAGAGAGGAAGCTCACGCCAGGTCCCACGCACACCCTGAGTCCTAAACAGCTACAGCAAAGCAGCATTTTGAGAGCCCAGCCCCCAACAGACTGTGCCCTGTCCTGTGGCACCTGTGTCTCCACCTCCCTAGAATCCCACTGACATCTCCCATGTGCAGCTGCCACCACCAGGGCTGAGGTGTGGCCACAAGCAGCATCACCCCACTGGCAGTGGGGCCGCCATGCATTTCAGGTGACAAGGCAGGGTGCCCCACCTGCAGCTGCTGTCACCGTGGGCTGCCACTGCCGAGGCTGAAGTGCAAGTGGGGTGTGAGCTGCTGCTGCCAGGGCCGGGATGTGAGTGACGTGTAAACCGCCACCACTGACGAAGAGGCGCAAGCCAAGTGTGCATCCCTCCGACCACCCCCTGTCTTCAGCGGCCACTGAAATCAACCCCTCCTTCCCCAGAGGCAGGGCCACAGTGCAGGTGCTGACATCCCCAATCTGAGCATTCTGCCAGGAGCCTGGGGATCATCTCACCTCTGCCTACGGCCAGCACCTGCACGCACCACTGGGGGCCTGAGGACAAACACACCCAGTGCAAGTTCATGCGCACTTCATGCCAGAGCATGCAGTCTGGGGGCGTGGGGATTGCCCAGCCACATTCACCACCGCTGGCACCTGACCACTTCCCAGAGGCCTGAGGTTGGGTGGGCCCAGCCACTCCGCTGCTATCACCACAGCCGGCCCCTACCTGCATGCACAACCTGAATGCCTGGAAACTGGCACTTCCAGCCCACTGCAGCCACCACTAACACCAGCATGCCACTGCTGTTGCCATCCTCCATGCCATACCTGCAGCCTAGGGGCCCGAGAACCTGACCACCCTTCTGGCCCTCTGCTGCCACTACTGTCATTGGAGCAAGACACCTGGAGGTCCAAGAATCAGCCTATCTAGATCTACTAACAGCGGGTCAGCAGACACTACCCCAAGAATCAGCCTATCTAGACCTACTAACAGTGGGTCAGCAGACACTGCCCCAAGAATCAGCCTATCTAGACCTACTAACAGTGGGTCAGCAGACACTGCCCCAAGAGTCAGCCTATCTAGACCTACTAACAGTGGATCAGCACACACTACCCCAAGAGTCAGCCTATCTAGACCTACTAACAGTGGGTCAGCACACACTACCCCAAGAATCAGCCTATCTAGACCTACTAACAGTGGGTCAGCAGACACTACCCCAAGAATCAGCCTATCTAGATCTACTAACAGTGGGTCAGCAGACACTACCCCAAGCATCAGCCTATCTAGTTCTACTAACAGTGGGTCAGCAGACACTACCCCAAGAATCAGCCTATCTAGACCTACTAACAGTGGGTCAGCAGACACTGCCCCAAGAATCAGCCTATCTAGACCTACTAACAGTGGGTCAGCAGACACTGCCCCAAGAGTCAGCCTATCTAGACCTACTAACAGTGGGTCAGCAGACACTACCGCAAGAGTCAGCCTATCTAGACCTACTAACAGTGGGTCAGCAGACACTACCGCAAGAGTCAGCCTATCTAGACCTACTAACAGTGGGTCAGCAGACACTACCCCAAGAGTCAGCCTATCTAGATCTACTAACAGTGGGTCAGCAGACACTACCCCAAGTATCAGCCTATCTAGATCTACTAACAGTGGGTCAGCAGACACTACCCCAAGAATCAGCCTATCTAGTTCTACTAACAGTGGGTCAGCAGACACTACCCCAAGCATCAGCCTATCTAGACCTACTAACAGTGGGTCAGCAGACACTACCCCAAGAATCAGCCTATCTAGACCTACTAACAGTGGGTCAGCAGACACTGCCCCAAGAATCAGCCTATCTAGACCTACTAACAGTGGGTCAGCAGACACTGCCCCAAGAATCAGCCTATCTAGACCTACTAACAGTGGGTCAGCAGACACTGCCCCAAGAGTCAGCCTATCTAGACCTACTAACAGTGGGTCAGCAGACACTACCGCAAGAGTCAGCCTATCTAGACCTACTAACAGTGGGTCAGCAGACACTACCCCAAGAGTCAGCCTATCTAGACCTACTAACAGTGGGTCAGCAGACACTGCCCCAAGAATCAACCTATTTAGACCTACTAACAGTGGGTCAGCAGACACTGCCCCAAGAGTCAGCCTATCTAGACCTACTAACAGTGGGTCAGCAGACACTGCCCCAAGAGTCAGCCTATTTAGACCTACTAACAGTGGGTCAGCAGACACTGCCCCAAGAGTCAGCCTATTTAGACCTACTAACAGTGGGTCAGCAGACACTGCCCCAAGAGTCAGCCTATCTAGACCTACTAACAGTGGGTCAGCAGACACTACCGCAAGAGTCAGCCTATCTAGACCTACTAACAGTGGGTCAGCAGACACTACCCCAAGAATCAGCCTATCTAGACCTACTAACAGTGGGTCAGCAGACACTGCCCCAAGAATCAGCCTATCTAGACCTACTAACAGTGGGTCAGCAGACACTGCCCCAAGAGTCAGCCTATCTAGACCTACTAACAGTGGGTCAGCAGACACTACCGCAAGAGTCAGCCTATCTAGACCTACTAACAGTGGGTCAGCAGACACTACCCCAAGAATCAGCCTATCTAGATCTACTAACAGTGGGTCAGCAGACACTACCCCAAGAATCAGCCTATCTAGACCTACTAACAGTGGGTCAGCAGACACTACCCCAAGAATCAGCCTATCTAGTTCTACTAACAGTGGGTCAGCAGACACTACCCCAAGAATCAGCCTATCTAGACCTACTAACAGTGGGTCAGCAGACACTACCCCAAGAATCAGCCTATCTAGACCTACTAACAGTGGGTCAGCAGACACTACCCCAAGAATCAGCCTATCTAGTTCTACTAACAGTGGGTCAGCAGACACTACCCCAAGAATCAGCCTATCTAGATCTACTAACAGTGGGTCAGCAGACACTACCCCAAGAATCAGCCTATCTAGACCTACTAACAGTGGGTCAGCAGACACTACCGCAAGAGTCAGCCTATCTAGATCTACTAACAGTGGGTCAGCAGACACTACCCAGGGGCCCAAGGAAAGACATACTCAGCCTACCACTGCCACTACTAGGGCCTGAAGACTAGTTGACCTGGTCGATGATGTCTTTGAGAGGATTCAAAGCGACGGCCGTGAGGAGCCAGGCATGCAGACGCTCCCTGGAAGTGGACACCACCAGGCAACCACAGCCTTTGCAGGAAAGATGTGGAGGAGGTGGTGCAGGCAGGAGAGAGGCTGGATGCCACCCTGAGGGGAAGCCCAGGTCTGTCCTGGCCAGGAGGCATTGTGTGGCCACCGCAAGAGAGGAGGGAGAAAAGCCCAGAAAGGCAGGCGGGGACTGTGACTCTCAGAAAGCGCCAAGAATGCTGGGAAACATCGTCACAAGTGTCTCTTCATGCCAACGATGACCACAGGGACAAGAAAGATTCATCAAGTTGACTTAGAGAGCTCCGGTTTCCCTGAGACATCATCAAGTTTGAATAAGCAAGCAACAAGCTTAGGCGCGTGAACTCCCGCGTGCCGGAGAGAGCACATGGTGGTTTAAAGTGCCACATTCCCTTCTGGCTCAGAGCATCTGCCCTGGGTGACAGTCTCGTGCTTGGGGAGGCCCTCGGAAACCTGCCACAGCCCTATTTCCAACGGGAAAGACACAGACGAGCCAGGCCAAGATGCGGCTGGGATGGTGCCTGTGCGCTCACAGCCCTGAGCAACACCTCACCCTCAGCTCGCCCAGCCTCTCCTGGCCACTCATTTCGGCTTTCTTCACTCTAGAGCAGGGGTGTCCGGGTTTTCAGCTTCCCTGGGCCACATCAGAAGAAGAATAATTGTCTTAGACTGCACATAAAATACACTAACACTAACGATAGCTGATGAGCTTAAAAAAAAACTCCCAGAATTCTCATAATGTTTTAAGAAAGTTTACGAATTTCTGCTGGGCCACATTCAAAGCCATTTCGGGCCTCATGTGGCCCATGGGTGGCGGATTGGACAAGCTTGCTCTAGATTCTCCTTAGGTAGAAGTAGGATTTCCTTCACCTCAAAGGACTGCAGACATTCAGCACAATAACCTTCCAACCTGCTAGCAAAGCCCTTTCTAGAAGGGGAGACAAGAATCCAAAAAGCACGCCAGAAAGAAGCCGAAAGTGAGGGACCTCGGACGTAATCACACCAGAACTCTGTGACGTTTTTAGCAAATAAGTCAAACAGGTAAAAGGATGGAATGCCAATAAGAAGAGAGTGGCCCCCTCCCTAGGCGCAGCCCACCTCCCTTTTAAAAATGTTTCCCTTTATGAATAAAAGCACAGGCATGGGAGATGAGGGCAGCCCCACGTATCAGGTAAACATCCTGATCATCTATTTGGTATGGGACTTGAAACAAATCACATTTTCGTGCTGATAACGTCAAATTGACCCCTTCCAGATATTGTTTTCCCTTTGGGGACTCTGTCCTGTATAAAGAATTTAGTAAATTACCTGGTTAATAGAGAGAACTAGCAACAAGGTAATCTTAGCGGTGTCATTTGTGTTTAGGAAAATAGTTTTTCCATTTAAAAGGCTTTAAACACATGTGTTTTCTCGTTTTGCCTCTACTGTGAGATAAATCTTCGCTTCAAGAATACACTAGATCACCAGATTCCCAAAAGAGAAGTGGGGGTGGGGGGTGCGCGGCGAGGGCAAGGGCTGGCTGAGAGCAATGAATTTGTATCAGAGAGCAGAATTATGTTATGTTTTCCTTGTAGATCTGAGCTCAAGATATGCCTTGGCTAGAGGCAGCTTAGCTGTGAATGACTGCACTAGCTTCTGCCAAGACCATCCTGAGTTTTCACTGTTTACATCTCCATGTGTGGACTTTACCCTCACCACACGATGGCAGATGGAAATCTGATAAAAACGAAGCAATGCATATAGATACATGCACATGTATTTATACATACACACATGTGTATATACACACAGGTGTGTGTGTGTGTATAGATATACCACAAAACAGGAGACCTTTATGTTTTGATGATGGGATTCAAGTGTTTCAACAACAAAATACAACCAGTGTTTTCCAAGTTGGACTCTGTAAAGTCCCAGAAATCCACAAGATTTTCATTCCTTATATTCATGTTGGACACTGTTACTGAAGAACCACGTTCCTTTTATCCTGGAGGAAAGAGGACGGGTCATGTGGCTGTACCTGCACCTCATCGCCCTTGGCCCAACCCCAGTTTAAAATGAGTGATATTGCAGTCTGCTAAGTGGCTTGTCTATGAAGTTCATCCCAAGTGGAAACAGCCCTCCATCGTGTTCAGTGAGGGATTATTCCAAACTTTAGATCTCATTAAACAGACAGAACGCCACAGTCACTTGTCCCTAATAAAAAATATGCAAATAAATCGAACTCCACCCTCCTGGTATGGTCCATTTTCTAAGAGGCCTTCTTCTGAACGTCAGCCCTCTAGCATTTCATTCAGGGCTGGGAAGCCGATGGCCGAATTTATTAATGAAGTTAATCGTGATAACCATCCTTCTCCTGGTAACTCCTGTGGATGAACACCACTTGATACCAGGCTGTAGAGAAGTGAGCTGGCGGTTCCTGGGAACCAGGCAGGAGGCACATACTCAGGTGAGCTGTGGCATGGGCTGTGCCCTGAGGAGGGACCACCCTTCTGCTGTGGCTCTCTGTTCTGAGGGCTAAAGCTGTGGGCGACAGACGCAGAGCCCGGCGCGTTGTCCCGGAAGCAGGGCCTTCAGGCACAGAGCCCGGCGCCCTGTCCCGGAAGCGGGGCCCTCAGGCGCAGAGCCCGGCGCCTTGTCCCGGAAGCGGGGCCCTCAGGCGCAGAGCCCGGCGCCTTGTCCCGGAAGCGGGGCCCTCAGGCGCAGAGCCCGGCGCCTTGTCCCGGAAGCGGGGCCCTCAGGCGCAGAGCCCGCCGCCTTGTCCCGGAAGCGGGGCCGTCAGGGCTGGAAGGGGCAGCAAGTGGCATTTTCCACAAATGGCTCCACTGACATTTCCTATTCTTTTGTATTTTGCTGTATGTTTTGGGTTGAGTTCTGTCTCCCAAAAAGATACATGGAATTCCTAACCCCCAGTAGCTGTGAATGAGAGCTTATTTGGAAATACGGTCCTGGTAGATGTCCTAATTCCAGTGTCTGGTGTCCTTATAAGAAGAAGGAAGTTTGAGCACAGCGACCTATGGGGAGCCGCAGTGTGAGGATGGAGGCGGACATTGCAGGGAGGCAGGGGCCGACAGGGAGCACGGTGGCGCCAGGAGCTGGAGGAGGCAGGAAGGACCCCGAGCCTCCACAGGGAGCACAGCTGCCCACACCTTGATCTCGGATATGTGGCCTCGGTGAAGGACCCCAATCTGTCACAGGGAGCATGGCTGCCCATACCTTGATCACGTGGCCTCCAGAATTAGGAGAGAACAAACACCTGTCGTTTTCAGCTCCAGTTTGTGGCACTTTGCTACAGCAGCCCGGGGACACTCCTACTGTCCAAAAGGATAAGCACATTTCAATCAAGCAGATCTGGGGCCTGAGCTTGAGTATCCATGGGAGAGCCAGACGGGAGACAGGGACGGGGGCAGAGGGCATGGGAGAGGGAGAGACGGAGAGAGAGAGAGAGAGAGAGAGAGAGAGAGAGAGAGAGAGAATGAGAGAGGGAGAGAGAGAAGGTGGGGAGGGAGAGAGGGGAGGCACAGAGACAGAAGCAGGGCTGAGGGGATTCAAGTGCTCAAACAGCCCAGGCGTATGGGTCACCTGGCACCTCTGGAGGAGGGACATGGCCCACAGATGTCACCGTTTTTAAGAGGGCCTGCCCTGATCTCGCCTATGTCAAGGGTGACTAGAAGAAGGACGAATCGGTCCTCTGTGTAGCTGTTTGCAAACGTGAAGAGGTGCGTAAGTCCCTAATAATGAAGTAATTGCCCAAACATCTGGTTAATGTGAACAAGTGCAAGCCAGGCAGGCAGGACGCGTGCCGCAAGGCTGTGCCCACAGAGCCAGGATGGCCATCTGCTGCACACCCCACACGCGGTTGCCCGCAGGACCTGATGGGGCCGCGGAGCCCACCTTGCTCCTTTCTCCCGGAGGGAACCTGCCCCCACAGCAGGGCAGAGAACAGCGCTGCGGGTGTGGGTTTGTAGAAGGGACAGAGCCGAGAGACCCTGGGGGTCCACAGGTGGCTTCCCAGCAGCGAAGATGAGGTCAGAGAGCACCTCTGAGCCGGCACAAAGGCCCCTCGCTGGCCCCGTAAGCCCGAGGCCAGCCTCGCGTGCGGGGGAGCTGGAGCACTCGGGTACGAGGAGGGCGGCGATGGCTCACTGTCCGTTTCCTTTCTAGTAATGACTTTTGCTCAGTTTAAAACTGTGTTTTAGTCCATTATGAGGCGTAAGTACATATTAGACTGAACCACGTGAAACTTATTTTTGTAGTTATCAGCCATTTTATATGGCTCAAGCTTATCTATGTTGCTCATGGATTTAAACGTAATGCAAAGCACTTATTAAATACGTGGGAATTGCAAACGTGAAATGGAGAAGGCAGGGAATTGCCAGGGAACGAGAGAGCAAACAGAAAACTCATGTCTGCAATGCTGAAGAACAAGGGGTTCCGGGCTGGCAGGAACCTTCTCCAGGGATGGGAGCCTGGGAGCCTCCTACCCGATTGTGCCCAGAGTCCCTGTCGCTGCACATTCACTTCAAACAAAGATCGTGCAAAGGAGAAACCCTCGTCCTGTGTGCTCAGTCCCACCCCAGGTCAAAGGCTGCCTAAAGCCTTTCCACCGCCTCCACAGGGGAACAGCTGCTGAAGCCAGATGGGGAGCGACCTTCACATGTAAAGCAGCTCCCCACACCTCCCCAGCTCCACAGGGCAGACGTGCATGCGTGCACACGGGCAAACACACACAGAAGTGTACATACGTGCACTCACAAAAACACAGGCACACACAACACACAGATATGCACATGTACACAAACACACCGATGTGTGCACACACAGAAACACACATGCATAGGCACAAACACAGGTGTGTGCACACCTGCACAAACAGAAACACAGACACACACATCATACACAGACATGTCCACAGACACACACACAGGGGCACACGCACAGACATGTACATGCAGGCACACACAGTCATACCTTAACACACAGACATGCATGTGCACACATGCAGAGATGCACAGACACATGCAGACGTGTGCACACATATGCGTGCACACACACAGAGACGGGCACAGGTGTCCCTAACCTGTCAGTTCTTCCTGGATGGTGGGCTGCGTCCAAGCAAGCTGAGAATTTTCCACGTTGACTGGAACACTCGGCTAAAATGCCTTGGCTTCTCAGGTCATGGGTAAGGGTCATTGACAACTCTATTTGCCCACTTTATTCAAACCAGAGGACAAGGAAAACTACTGGATGAACACGGTTGTCTTGGGAAGAGACCTGCAGGAAGCTGCCCCAGCAGAGGTAAGCCCGGTACTAACAGCTTGATTCTCATAAAAAGGTGGCAATAATCGTGAAAGTGTGAGAAGGAATGTGGCGTTATCCATTTAATCCCAGAACTGAGGCTGGGAGTTGTCTCACAGTGACGTGGGCCAGGCCTCTCCCCAGCAAGGGCGATTAAAGTGAAACCACTTAGGACATTTGGTCTATTTCAGATCCCTGCCGGTAACCTTTTCCTTCTTTTCACCAACTCTTTTCAAACTTAGGTTTTTTTTTCCCTTCTGTCTTTGTATTTTCCCGTAACATAGCCCTCGGGGATGTTTACTTAGATTTCCCTGTTGGGGTTCATGCACTGCCCTGGTCTGTGCCATGATCTTGTTTTTGAAGGGACTCTTGCAACTTCCCAACCCAATGACAAGCACTCAATAGGCATCAAATGGTTGCTCGTCCATGAAGACATGAGGTTCTCTTTCTCTTCCAAATCGGGGGAAATAATCATGAGGAATAGCTCATGACACGACACACTATTTCATTTTTGTTCAGCCTGAGGGTCCGCCCTGGAAGATCCTCTTTACAACATAAACAATGTGATGACCATGGAATTCAGCAGCCAACTTTGACGGTGGCCATGACTGACGGGCACAGACATTTCTCTGTTCCTTCTCAGCAGGCCACGGGTTTCAGTAACGCCAGAGGCTGAGAGAGGAATTGGTCGACGGAGGTAAGCACACATCTATTGAGCACCTACTCTGTGCACAGCCCTTCGGGGATACAGAAAGGTCAAGGGCAGAGCCTCCCCTCTCTAAGGACTTCCACTACCAGGCAGAAATCGTCACATACGAGGAAAGCTTGACTGCAAAACATCAATTCATCCAGCAACCACTCACCATCCACTGGTAAGGCCATGTCCTTCCATTCTGGCCAGAGTTCCGCATCTGTGCCTCAGTGCTGGGGCTGATCTGACAGCCTGTGTCGCACACACACAGGTTGGGGGAGAGATAGTTGAGACCAAAACGTTTGTGAGATCAAAGCCATTGAGATGCTGTCACACGTTCCCAGGGGCACGGACAGGGAACTCACAGTCACTCCCGGAGGGAAGCGAGTACCAGCTTGAAGCAGCGTGGTGTGGGGAGGTCCTCCTGCCTGGGTGCTGCTGAGGCAGAGAAGGAGGAGGCTGTTCTCACTGAAGGCGCCTGCACATCTCCTCAGCAGAGACGGGGTACAGACGGGCTTTGGAGAAGGGTGGTCCCTCCGCAGGATGCGTGGGAGAGGGAGGATGCCCGGTAACAAACAGAGCTCCTGGCAAGGGTGGGCTGCGGCCCAGCCCAGAAGAGCTCCTCCTCCCTCCAGGAACCTGGATCTTGTCGCCCCGGGAGAACATGTTCCCTGCCTTCATCCCACGGAGCAGGCTTCGTGCAGAAGCTCATCCTGTTCACAGCTCTAACTACCAAAGGCTGGGAATCTACAAGCTGAATCTTCAACCCAAACTCACCTCCTGAATGCCCATCACTGTTGCCTTCTGTCACCGGCCTTCGGACACCCCAGGAGCACCTCAGACGCACCCGAGCACAAACTCCATGTCTCTCCTGTGAAGTTTCTCAGAGCCCCTGCCGTGGCCAATGCTCCTGGCCACTCCACTGTGAAATCCACAGCATCTGTCACTCTTCTGCTCCCTCCTGCTCTTGTCTCCAAACCCAACTAACCCAGCCACCTGCAAATCTCTCCCGCCCTCCCGGCCACCCCAAGCAGCCACTGGGGACCATCCTCAACCTCCCCATCCAGTCTTTTCCCTGGGCCCGAAGCATGTTCCTAAAATGCAGACACGTCACATCACTCCAGTTCAAAACCTTTCAGTAGCATTTGTTAATGGCCACTCATTTATTCCACAAAAAATTACTTAATCTTGGGCTGGGCATGGTGGCTTATACCTGTAATGCCAGCACTTTGGGAGGCTGAGGAGGGAGGATAGCTTGAGGCCAGGAATATGTGACCAGCCTGGACAACAAAGTGAGACCCCATCTCTATGAGAAATTAAAAAACTAGCCAGGCGCACTGGTGAATGCCTGTAGTCCCAGTTATTCCAGATGCTGAGGCAGAAGGATTGCTTAAGCCCAGGAAGTTGAAGCTGCAGTGAGCTGTGATTCTGCATTCTAGCCTGGAGGACAGAGCCAGGTCCTGTCTCTAATAAATAAATAAATTACATAATCTTAGGCACCAGTCACTCCAGGAGGCACAGAAAATACACTATCATCTCTGCCATATTGGATTTATCATCTAGCACAGAGGAAAACACTAGGTGGTTGGTCCAACCCAGACAAGGACCTATGGCCACACTTCCAGCTCCCGGAGGACGATGCCAGCAGCGTTGTGGGTGGAGACGCCTTCCCAGCTGCCGGGCCGCACAGCTGCAGAGCCAAGGCTCCAATGCAGAGCTTTCTGAGTTGAAAGTCTTTGTTGTCATCTCACCTCATAGAAATAATAGCTCAATTATCACTCTAAGCCACACCATAATACACTTCCATTAAAAAATCAAAATCAGTGATACATTTAAAATGACGCTTTCAGCTGGCGTTTCAATACAGACAGAGATGAAAGCGGGAAACGGCTTTCAGTTTCTGAAACCTGAGAACAGTTCCACAGTGAACATCTCATTGGGTGTCTTAGAGACACCCCAATAATGTGGGCTGAAAATGTTAATGAATTGAGCCTCTGTTTTCCTAAAGTATTCGTTTAGTAAATCCCCCCTTGGTAAAAAGAAAAATATCGCACCTGTCATAACCTGTTTCCATAATTTAATTTCACTCTCAATTCACTTGCCTCTGCACCTGAGTGAAAGGCTCCTGGGTTATTAACAGATTTCATAATTGCAGTGTTTGTCGCACAGGACACTTAGGGCAGCTCCTCCAGAGAGCGTCGAGGATGTGGCCTGACACTGGCTCCCACAGGCGTTTGTGTGATGGATGTGGGTACTGATAGAGAAGGGGGTGGTACAGACACTGATGAAAGTGTGTGGAGGTGATCTAAGTTCAGACAGGACGTGGATATGCAGGTGGCACGTGGTGTGGGTGTGGACGTGGGCATCTGTGTGGGTGTGGCTGCAGACACGGGCCGGTGATGCAGATGTGGGTGTGCGTTGGGGTGAGGCTGCGGACACAGACAGGTGCAGATGTAGGCCGAGGTGATGTGGACAGACACAGGTAGATAGATGCAGACGCACAGTGGCAAACCCCAACTGTAAGTTTGGGAAGAGCTGCTCCCCATTGCCACTGTTTGGCAGGGAGCATTGGGCACTCACGTTCCCTCCACAATGTGCAGCCACAGACACACTTGTGTCTGCAACATGAAAGCCGAGCCCACCTTCCCTGTGTGTGCCTCAAAGCTAGTGGGGTCGGGAGGATGTCCTGAGGCTTGCTGGGTGGATTCTATTGATAAAGGGAGTCCTGGTGGCCCAGGGGTGTTTTCTAGAGCAGTGGAAGGCTCGAGGGGACGCAGGTGACATGGCCATCTCTCCTCTGCTGTCTTCATCTTGACAAAGAGCAGAACAGTTTCCAGGAATCCCCTTTATATTCACAAATTTTCAGAGAGTCTGGGGGTGGGGGATGAGAGAAAACCAGACAACTCCAGCACCCAAGATCTGCAGAAGGAGGGGGCGGAAGCACCCAGCCCAAGGCCGCGTCCACAGGTGGCTGAGCTCGGTCTCCCCAGAACACCCGCGGCGTCCTCGTGGCTCTTCTTCCCGGGCCGTGTCCTTCCATTCTGGCTGGAGTTCAGCATCTGTGCCTGGGTGCTGGGCTGATCTGACAGCCTGTGTCCCACACACACAGGTTAGCGGGAGAGATAGATGCACATACAAACATACACAGAAACACACATGCACAGGGAGATAGACACACACGGATATGCACACAAACACACAGATACACAGATACAGACACACAGATACATGCACACAGAAGCAGACAGACACACAGATACTCAGATAGATACACATACTCGTAGATACACACATGCACACAGATAAACACACAGATACACATGTGCACACAGAAATACACACAGATACACACATGAACACACGGAGATAATTATATACACAGATACATCTACATGCACACACACAGATACATACACACAAGCACACAGGGATAGACACAGATACACACACAGATACACGAGCACAAACAGATACACAAAAATATAGGCACAGATACACATACACACAGGTACCTATGTGTACATACAGAAACACACACTTGCACGTAGAGACAGACACACACACAAACACAGGGATACACACATGCAGATATATACACAGAGACACACACAGAGATATGCACACAATCACACAGATACACACATAACCACACATAAATACACACATTTAGCAGCCTCTCAAAACAATATGAAATATCTGTTACTACCATCTCTGAACTTGTAGGGTCACAGTAAATACAAAGAATGCATACAGTTGAAGTAGATATTTTTCTTTTGCAACTGAAAAACTTTTTGAATATCATAGTTTCCTCCAAACAAGATGTTATTTTAAATGAAATGGAATCACAACAACATCTATTGTACCCTCGTCCCACTTCTCTCTCTCGTAAGAATAATGGATAATCATCAAACCAAGTTAATCATTGCTTTGAAGAGTATCCTCTTAGGTAGATGAGATAGATAGATGGATAGATCAACAGATAGATGATAGATAGATAGATTGATAGATTATTGATAGATGATAGATAGATGATAGATGATTGATAAGTGATTGATAGATGATAGATAGATGATAGATGATAGATAGATGATAGATGATTGATAAGTGATTGATAGATGATAGATAGATGATTGATTGATAGACATAGACTGACTCGTGATAATAGCAGTAAATCCTCCTGCGCACTAAAGTGACTTATAATCTATAAAATGCCAAAGTTCTATAAAGCACTCAGGCAAAGAGAAATTCAAATGACAAACCAGTTTATTTTGAGCTGCACCTACCTTTTCCAGGCATATTCCAGTAAAAAGTTAATTTGACAGTGGTATGAAAAACAGAAGAGAAATTGGCAAACAGCATGAGTAATGGATAACAAGTTGCAAGTTAAATACCAAACAGATAAGCACCATGAAAGAGAGGCAGAATATATCAAAATTTGTTGTGGCTCTAGGGATCGGCTAAATTTGCTGTGCTGTATAAAACACTGCTATTAACACGTCATTGCGAGAGTTCCTCTTTGAGGAGATGACTTTGGTGAATGCGGATGTTTTTCAGCACAACTGTTCAAGCACAGAAGAAGCCTAGGAGCACAGAATGCAATTTAGTCGCCAGTCCCAACAAGCAATCCCCCACCGTAATGACTCCGAAGTTTTGGAAATCGGCTGAAGTGTTTTAACTTACAGTGCTGCGCCGAGTTTGCAGACAGGACAACCTGTTGGTCCCTGGGTTTCCCTGGATAAGAAAACAGGAGCTATTTCTCTTAATTAAATCTAGAGCGAACTAGAAGGAGCAGGTCACCTGATGGGAAATACACTCCTCTTCATGTATAAGAAGTTAGTTATGGTGACTAGTGGTGGTTTCACCTTGTTTTTCTCAGTTCTTCTTTTTTTAAGCCTTCAACTTTGGTTTTAATGCCAAAAAAAACAAAAAATTGACCAAAGTTTGGCTGCATCCCAAAACAAATGAGAAGCTATTTTCTTGGAGGACATGCTCAGATATTTACAGGACTGAATTCTTTCAAGATATTTATCTTGCTGAACAGACTTAAAAATGCAAAAAATTATAAATAAATGAAGAAAGAAGACTACATTCTCTGACAATGGACAGGAACACTGGAGCTCAGATTTTCAACAATAGATGAGGTGAATAATCAGAAATATTACATAAATAGGATTAGATATTTATTTCACATTTATTTCTAGAAGTAGCAGAGTAAACAGAAAAAAAATGTTTCGTCTTTCTTGACCTAATTATCAAAATATCAAAACGTAGCTCATACCCACGTTTCGGGATTGTTCTCAGGGTTAATGAAATAGCACGTGCTAATCCTCAAGATTAGTAGCTGATGTGGGGCGGGCGACAATACATGAAATCTCTAAGACTCTCAAATATAGACTACTTAATAAAGAACTGGACGGGGTCCAGGAGAGCCGAGGGTTTCCTAGAGATGGTAAGTGGTAAACTGTGTGGCTTACTGGAAACTAAGTTTCTTCCTCAGTGTAATGATGTATGAACTTTTTCAGCATCGAGGAAATATTACTGAGACTCATTTAGGACCATGTGGGAGCTGCCCCGGGTAGTTGGACCACTTGAGACTTAACAACTAATCCATTCACCTTTGCTCTGGACAAAGGTTTTGAGTTAATCCTAAGAAAATAAATCATTTATGAATATATAGAATACTGACTAATGAAATCTATCTCACCTGCGTCTCCCCAGGTAGGAGCCAGGCAAAGAGGGCCACATCCACGCATCTGCGTTCTCGTCTGTATTCAGAGCTGCAGCTGGATAGGCTCCTAGAAGCCACTGATTTTATTTTCCTGGGTTTATGTTCCTCAAACCTTTCACACAGAAATCAGCTACGAAGAAAGCCTCTCCTTGGAGCTGTGAGAATTCCTGAAATATTTCATAATCTTTGCCATCAAAACCTTGTGTGTACTTTCCAGCTAAAAGGGAGAAGGTCTTTCCCAGCAAACAGCTCCACGCTCCAGAGCCCTCTTGTGACCATCGTCACCAATCTGACCATACAGACAAGCTCCGGGACACCTCAGCCCGGAAAAATCCAAGCTCTAAATTAAGGCAGTGACGTTTATTCTCTTTCTAAAACTCATTCATGTTCTTAGTAACTATGTCTCCAGCACAGACCTCCATTTTAAACTGAACACACTAACACCATCAGCCTTCATTCCTCCTGGGCTGCCACCCCAAATCTCCTGGCAAATGTAAATTTTTCCCTGTTTTTCCACTGCTGTTCCCTGTTCTTCCTTTTCCTGACACGTATCAGGAGATGATGTCTGCAGAGTGGAAACAAGTCTGGATTTCAATGTGTGCAGTAAAGGCCGACTAGGCAGCGTGCACTGCTCCCTGTGGCTCTGAGCAGAGGCTCTGCACTAAGGTCCCAGAATTCAGCTCTGGGACTGCAGCCCTGCCTTAGTCATAGCGAAGTCCCAGGAGACAGCCTGAACCCCGTGCTGGACCCTAGAGACCCTGGCCCTCAGTGGGGCAGTGCAGGCAGGACTGCAGCAGCGCACGGAAGGACAGTGGTCCAGGTTCAGCCAGGAGTCGCGACTCCAAGGCCGGCCACACGGTGTCCAGCCCAGGCCCCTCCACGCCCACCACTGTCGCCTGCCTGTGTGGCCCCGCCTGGCTTCAGCACTCCTGCCTGCTCCCCACAGCTCCCACTCCTCAGGCATCCTCTATGCGGGCTGGGCTTAATCTTTTTAATTGTTAAAGGTCTTTAACTATGTAACAGGATTCATTATCCACTGTGTCTGTCAAAATGCTATTTAATAAGTTGCTTTTTTTATTAACCCCGACTGAAAACAAAACAAAACAGGGTTTTTTGTTTGTTTGTTTGCTTTGTTTGTTTTTTGTTTTTGTTTTTATCACCAGCTGCTGGAGGCAGAGCCAGAGTGTCTCTGGATGGTTTCTGCTAACACGCTGTGAGAAAGAAAAGGTGTGTCTCCCAGGTCTGGCAGCCCAGCGTCCACATCTCCTGTGACCCCTCCGGCCGTGGGGTACTGCCTCCCCATAACCCAAAGCCGTGTCTGAAAGAGAAGAGCCACTCTGATCCCTAGTGTGGCTCTTCCACATGGGCCTGCCCAGGGTGGCCATTCCATACATGACTCTGGAGGGCAGGTGATGACAGCCTGATACGAGCTGACACCAGAGAAAGGCAAACCGTTCTCCGGGCTGAGGCTCCCTCCTTGTAGAATGCCGCCCACCAGCTGCCCTGCCCGTGGGAAGAAGCGCCACGGCAGGTGGGCTTCAGGGTTAGGTGGAGATGATGCTGTTGATACAGAACATGTTTCTTATATTCTACAGATTTTTAACCATTTTATTCCTGAGTACAAAAAACAAAAGCCACTCAAAAGAAACGACAGTTGACATAATATTCGGGTAAAGCATGTTTACAGAAAAGGCCCAAAGAAGTGAACAGTAGTAGGCCAAATATATACTTTCTGGATTTGCTTTAAGTGGAAAAAGAGATACAGATTCAACCTCATTGAGTTGATCTGACCACACCTCTCTGCTAACGTTCGTGTACAGAAGCTGCAGGCAGGACATGACGTCACCACTTTCCAATAACATATTCCTGCAGCCACAGTCAGAAGAGGTCCCGGCTCCACCCTTCTCAGAATAACGGGTTGTTCAGCCGCAACCTTGTTTGTCAAAAATGACAGCCTCTTTTATTAACATGGAAAATTACCTGCTTCTTCTCCCCATTCCCTTCCACTTGACTTTTTTTTTTTTCTTTGAAAAGCAGAGATAAATCCCAGTAGCACAATTAAAGCGCTAGCTAAATATTACTTTGTTGGGCTTAACGATAGATTACAATGTGTGCATAATGACCCAGTTCCAGTAATATCATCTGATTTAGTAAGGAAATGAGAGACTGCCATATGTTCACCAATAAGGTCTCCGAAGCTCTCCTTCTTGTTCTGCCGGCGAGGGTGCTGTGGGGTCCTGCAGCCTCACTGCTGCTGAACACCAAGCTCACCAGAGCCTGCACCAGGACACACATTTCCTCAGGCCAGGGCAGGAGACGAGCTGACAGCCCGTGGCCTCCTGATTGAAGTCCCTTCACGGTTAGGAGTGGATGCCTGCTGCTTCTGAGCATTGTTCACTAAACTGGAGGCTCCCAGAACAGAGGGATCTGGGGAAAAAGGAAACGAAGGAGGCATATTAAAGTTGAACACAGAACTAAAGAAACTCCAGCTCCAAAAATGAATGAGGTCGCTCCTTCAAACGCACACAATGCGACATAGCTGACAAGGCAGTCTTTTTCATTTTTAAACAAAAATTTCAATCTTGATGGCAGAAAGTTCAATCCAGAGTAGATAAATGGAAATCCCCTTACTAAGACATAACCCCAGTCTTAGCTACGTTAGGGAATTTAATAAGACAAACTGCTGATCCGTTGAAGTCAGTACTAATGAGGGAATAAGAACATTATTTGCTTCGTCAAATATTTTCAATAATATTATGCCATAATTTATTCACTTATTTAGCAAAAATTAAAACGACCCTTGGTTCCCACAAAAATGGAAACGTGTATACGATGTACTATTCTTTGTCTAAGAAAAAGGCCACGTGTTGATAAATGTTTACGTTAATAAAACAACAAATGGAAGAATGAGCCACAAAATAAGAATAGGAATCATTATTTAAAAGGTGTGTAAGAGAACAGTGGCTATACAGCTGGTATTTTTGTCTTCACTTTGAAACTTTGTGAACATTTCCTATGATTATAGAATGAACTTTGATTTAAAACTCAAATCTCAAACTACTTAAAAAAAAATCAAATAACACCAAGACTAGAAGTGCTGACCTGACAGCTGACCCACCACACTCGGCAGGTGTCTACCTTGACCAAACTGTGCTGCCTACGAGGAAGAGGAATGCACTCAGAAAGAGGGAAAATACAGAAATTCTCAGCAGAGAACTAGAAACTGCAAAAAGGGAACCAATAGAGATTTTAAAACTGAAAAATAAATACCTGAAATAAAAACTCACTCCAAAGCAGCTCCAGCGCAGCCCGTCGATGATGGGGAGGCTGTGCCTGTGTGGAGGGGGGTGCGTGGGAGCCCTCTGTGTCTTCTGCTCAGATTGGCTATGAAACTAAAACTATTCTAAAAATAAAGTCCATTCCAGGACATTGGACTGGCAAAGATTTCGTGAGTGACACCCCAAAAGCACAGGCGACCAAAGCGAAAATGGACAAAAGGGATCCCATCTTGTTAAACAGCTTCTGCACAGCAAAGGAGACAATCAAGAGAGTGAAGAGACAACCCACAGAATGGGGGAAAATATGTGCAAACTATTCATCTGACCAGGAATTCATAACTGGAATATATTAGGAGCTCAAACAAATCTGGTACAAAATCTAATAATCCAATTAAAGGTCTGCATAGACATTTCTCAAAAGGAGACACACAGATGGCAAACAGGCATATGAAAAGGTGCTCAACATTACTGATCATCAGAGAAATGCAAATCAAAACTACAAAGAGACATCATCTCACCCCAGTTGAAATAACTTTTATCCGAAAGACAGGTAATAACAAATGCTGGCGATGATATAGAGAAAAGGGAACCCTCATACACTGTTGGTGAGAATGTAAATTAGTACAACCATTATGGAGAGCATATGGAAGTTGCTCAAAAAACTAAAACTAGAGCTACCGTGCGATCTGGCAATCCCATTGCTGAGTAGGTCCCCAAAAGAAAGGAAGAGAGATCTGCTCTCCATGTTCCCTGCAGCACAATTTACAGTAGCCAAGACTGAGAATCAACTTAAGCATCCATCAGCAGATGAATGGATAAAGACAATGTGGTACATGTACACAATGGAGTACTATTCAGCCATCAGAAAAGAATGGGATTCTGTCATTGGCAATAACATGGATGGAACGGGAGGTCATTCTGTTAATGAAATGAGCCAGGCACAGAAAGACAAATTTCACATGTTCTCACTCATTTTTGGGAGCTAAAGACTAAAACAATTGAACTCATGGAGATGGAGGTAGAAGGATGGTTACCAGAGGCTGGGAAGCGTAGTTGAGGGGGAGTGTGCATGGTTAATGGATACAAAAAAAAATAGAGTGAATAAGATATAGTATTTGACTACAATCAACAATAATTTATTGAACAGTTTAAAATAAGCATAATTGGAATGTATGTAACACAAAGAAATGATAGATGCTTTAGGGGATGGAGACCCCATTTATCCTGATGTGATTATGACGCATTGTATGCCTGTATACAAATATCTCATGTACCCTCATAAATATATATGTATGTTTATATATATGTTTTCATATATATATTTTACATAGAGAGAGCTACTCTCTATATACGATATATTTATGTATTTATTATATATATGAGGGGGTTACTTGAGAGATTTTGATACAGGCATACATACAATGTGTAATAATCATATCAGAGTAAATGGGGTATTTATCCCCTCAAGCATTTGTATATATTTTAATATAAATTATATATATTTGTATATAATAAATTTACGTATCATGTATTTTACATATACTTTTATATATGATATATATTACACGTATTTTATATATTATTTATATTTTTTCCTTAGGAAAAAATCCCATATTTACCCATAAAAATAAAAACTTGAAATAATGCACCTAACAGACTCAACAGCAGAATGAAGAGGACACAGAGAAGAACCGGAGCCTCAAGCACAGATGAATAAGCACCACCCATGGAAAAGGAGCAAGGAAACAACAGTGAACGGGGCTCAGAGGCCTGTGGGGTGATCGGGAAAGACCAGACTGGCCGCTGGAGTCCAGGAGACAAGAGTGATCGGGACACGGAATCGTGCTGGAGGAAATGACACGAGAAAGCGTGTCAAATCCGGCAGAAAACATGAGCTTGCAGATTCAAAAGTCTCCAAAAACTAAACAGGATCAGAGCAGAGAACATGGCCCGAGGCATTGGAATCAAAATTCTGAAAGCCTAAGTTTCTGAACCTAGCCTGAAAGCCCAATTTTCTAAGATAAAACTATGAATAGTTTTAAAACAGAGAAAAATGTAAAATTATGTAGAGGGGAACAGTGATGTGAATCACCAAGCATTTCTCATCAGAAACCACACAGTCCAGAAGGAAGTGGATCCAAACCTTAAAATGAAAAAACAAAAAAGTAACAATCCTGTACAGATAAAATACAATCCAAATAAAATAGCAATGTAAATTGACAGTTGATTCTGAAATGTATATGGAAATGTCAACAATCTAGAATAATCAAGGCACTTTTAAAAGAAAATAAATGAGCTGGAAGATGTATTGTACCTTACTTCAGGTCTTAACAATTCTGCTATATTAATCAAGGTAGTTTGTTTTGGTATCGGTGGAAAGATAGAGAAATAGATGAACGGAACAGAAAGGAATCCAGAAACAGGGCCCCACACACATGGTCAACTGAATTGCAATTAAAGTGCCCAAGAAACCCGCTGGAAAACGCATAACCTTTTCATTAAATGGTGTTGATCAGCTGGATATCCTATGAAAAGATGAGCTTTAACTGTTACCTCGCATCACATGCAAAATTTAATGCAAAATGAGTCACAGACCTAAATGTAAAACCTAAAACTCAACAAGGACTCTGCAGAAAAAGTATTCATGAAAATCAGGTAGTTTTAGGTTTCTTAAACAGAATGCAAAGAGCTCAAATTATAAAAGAAAAAAATGGATAAACTAAGCTTTATGAAATTTAAAAACTTTTGCTCTTTGAAAGACACCACTGAGAAAATGAAAAACAAGACACAGACTAGAAGACCATGTTTACAACACATACACTAGATGAAGAAATTGTATCTAGGATATATAAACTACTTTTATAACTCAATAATGAGAACACTAACAACCCACTAAACGTTGCACAACGATTTGAGCAGACACATCGTATGGAAGGATGGTCAGCTCCACCAGCCGTCAGGGGAGTGTAAGCTAAACCACAGCAAGGTGACGCTGGGCCCATTCACTCTGCTAGAGTGAGGAAGATTGACCACAGGCATGTAGGTGAGGATGTGGAGCCCCTGGAACTCTAATGCATGGATGGCTTGAACCATGGACAGGTCATTTCGGAAATCAGTTCAGCAGCTTTTTTTTTAAAGTTAAACATTTGCCCAATGATAAGAGCCAGACCTTTACTCCTAAGAGAAACAAAAACCTCTGTCCATGCAAAGAGTAGTATGTAGATGTCCACGACATTTAATTCATAACAGCCAAATACCAGAAATAATCCAAATGCCCCTCCACAGAGGTCGGGGCTGTAGTGAGCCGTGATGGCACCACCATACTCCAGCCTGGGTGACAGAGTGAGATCCCATCTCAAAAAATAATCAGAATAAAGGAAATTCTTTAGTCAGAATCACTGAAATAATAACTTCCTCAAATCTACCCCCTCCCCTGTGGAGGGACTTATTTCTGGGAATACCAATCCACCTGCCCTCCTGGAGTTGCACTTTCAGTTGTATATGGATGCTTCAGACTATATGACTTTCACAAATAAACCAAGGCAATTATGCATTGTGGTACATGCTCAGAAAGTTCTACAAATACTCAATCTTGAACATTATGATAAATTCTGACAACATCACTGCTCCCTGTGGGTTATTTTCCTGTGGCTGCCCAACGTGGCTGTCTTTTCCAAGTGCAGATGGATGCCACCCCCTTATCCCTGTCCCCTCTCCTGTCTGATCTTCAGTTTGGCCAGTTGAGAAGATGTGTTCTGTCCCTTTAAAGGGACTGGCTGGGCACGGTGGCTCACACCTGTAATCCCAGCATTTTGGGAGGCCAATGCGGGTGAATCACCTGAGATCAAGAATTCGAGAGCAGCCTGTCCAACATGGTGAAACCCTGTCTCTACTAAAAATACAAAACTTAGCCAGGTGTAGTAGCGCGCCTGTAATTTCAGCTAGTCAGGAGGCTGAGGCAGGTGAGTTGCTTGAACCTGGGAGGTGGAGGTTGCAGTGAGCCGAGGTCGCACCACTGCACTCCAGCCCAGGTGACAGAGTGAGATTCTGTCCAAAAAAAAAACAAAAAAAAAAAAAAACGGGGACTGCCTGTGTCTTGCAGTGACTAACACAGAATAAAATTGTCAGGCCACTCCCAGTCAGGGCAGCCCCCCACACAGCTGTGTCTCCTTCATCTGGAAATCCTAGTCATGGAAAGCCAGCCACATAGGGTACCCCAAGGAATGCACCTCTAAGACCCTTGAGGGAGTAATCTGTCTTTGCACCTTTGAGAAATGACAGCCACATTGGGCAGCCACAGAAAAAATAATCAACAGGTAGCGATGTTGTCAGAATTTATTATAATGCTCAAGATCTAGTATTGCAGAACATTTTTTAGAGTACATCACAATGCATAATTTCTTTGGTTAATTTGTAAAAGTCATATAGTCTTATGTGCCCGCATGCGAAAGCTAACTGATAAACATGTTGGCTTCGTGTGTGGATACTGTTTCCACTCTGTGAAACCCAGAGAATAAGTGATTTCAACACTGCTGAATTCCAGAGACCCCTGTTGCCTCTAGAGCTGGGCACCTGTGCAAGTTACGCTCAATCACCGGCTCTCATATGCTGGAAAATACCCGTGGCCGATTGGCTCACACTGAGAATTCTCACAATGTAGGATGCGCCCAAGCAGCATCGTTAGACTCTGGATATTCCAGAACAAGATTTCTGGAACTGTCTCCTCCTCCTGGGAAGGGCAGGGTGGGTGGGGGATTTGCTTGCTGGCCCTATGCCTCATTGAGCCGCCTGTGCCATAGGCAGGGCCAGAGGGGAAGGGGGCCTCTGCATTTTCCTTGAGCCACCTGCATTTCTGGTTCAGTGTTGACTGCTGCAGACTCAGAAGGAAGAGCAAAAGAGCAAAGCCTTGAAGATTATTGCTGATACATGAAGGGCTTTTTTTTTTTTTTAAGACAGAGTCTCACTCTGTCGCCCAGGCTAGAGTGCAGTGGCACAATCCTGGCTCACTGCAACCTCCTCCCCCTGGGTTCAAGAGATCCTCCTGCCTCAGCCTCCCAAGATGCTGGGATTACAGGTGCCCACCACCACACCTGGCTAATTTTATATTTTTAGTAGAGACAGGGTTTCACCATGTTGGCCAGGCTGCTCTCGAACTCCTGACCTCAGGTGATCCACCCTCCTCGGCCTCCCAAAGTGCTGGGATTACAGGCGTGAGCCACCGTGCCCGGCCCTGGGGGCTTTTAAATGCATGAAGAGGCACCATCACTGAAGCCATTTCCTGATTCTTCTCACCCACAGCCTCTCGGCTTTGGAAGTCTCTCCTGGGAGTGGCTGTGATGTGCCCTGACTCTGTTCCCATCACTAATTTTGCTCTTCCAATCATCATTTCAGCTCGTGAATATTCAAATAGAAGCTGGGTTTGGCTTTCTTTATAAAAATTTTGTGGTAGTGAAATGAGTACATTTGTAGTATATTCCTATTTCTTACAGTAACTATTGTATAGGGTCATGTTTGATCTAAGAATGAAAAGAAAAAGTCCTTTTCTGATTCTTGCAATAATTCTTTTGTAGCATAAGATCAAATATCCCCCTACAAAAATACTTACCACAAGAAACAGAGCACTTTAAAATTTGTAAGTCATTTTTCTGGTGAGATCGATAAGCTCAGTCATCTAAAAATAGAGTGGGAAGTCAAGAAGAGGAAGAAACCTTGAGAATTTGAAGCCTGCATTGCTGCATTTAAAACAACAGAATCAGCTATCGACTACGTCAGTAAAATATAAAGAACAAGAATCTCTCCCATCCATGAAAGCAAAAGATAGATTAAAATTACAGCTGAGAGGTAGATGGACTTTGAAATTAATGTCCACATAATAGAACTTAAAGAGGCAAAAGTACATAGAGAAAATAACCAAGAAAATAATTTTAAAACCTTAACTTCCCGTGGGATCTAAACTGTGTCCCCCAACTTTGTTATAAATGTACACTAAATTCAAATTTTAGTTGTTATGTTGAAGCCATAACCCCCAGTGCCTCTGAATGTGTCTGTGTTTGGAGATAGGGCCTTTCTAAAGAGGTAATTAAGGTAAAATGAGGTCACAGGGTGGGCTCTGACCCAGTCTGGCTGGTGTCTTCATGAGAAGACCGGACATACACAGGGGAAACGCCATGTGCAGCCATGGTGGGGAGACGGCTTTCACCCACAGAGAGGCCTCCGAAGAAACCGGCCTGCTGGCACCTTGATCTTGGACTCCCAGCCTCTAGAACTATGAGAAATAGTTCCTGCTGTTTAAGCTAGGAAGGCTGTTGTATTTCCTTACGGCAGCCCAGCAAACTGATGCCCTTTACCAGATTGAAAATTGCTCTTCCATCTGCAAATCAAAAGACAACACCACGTTCAAGAACAGTGTAAGAATGCAGGGGCTTCCACCCAGAAAGAGCCCACCAAGGGCAGAGTGGAGGGAAAACAATGCCAGCCTTTAGGCAGGGAGGAAGGTGACCCGCAAACAGATCTCATGCTTTTACCACACTCATGCTTTTTGCCAGGCACTAGGGTTCAAGAAGGAACAATCTGTAGGCTTTTGAGAGGAAAATATATTCATCCAAGTTGGCCATCCTTCAGGTGGTAGAAAAAAGCCACAACAGAAGGAGAGAAAGGGAAGGAGGGAGGGAGGGAGGGAAGCAGGGAAAGAAGGAAAGGAAGGGAGGGAAGGAAGGAGGGAAGGAGCAGGCATCACAGAGAAGCAGATGCTCATAAACCACTCTTCCTACGCTGCAAAAGTAGATAAAGGTAAATAAATAAAAACCTCAAGAATGGCGGATTCACAGCATAATAGAAGTAACTGTAAGGAAAGAAACCACTAAAAGTGAGATAAATCCAAACAATTGTAGTATAGCATGAAATTTAATTAAAAGAAGATGATTAAAGAAAAAAGGTACAATAATTTAAAGTAAATAACTGAATAGTAATCTGGTTCTAAAATCCAAGATTGTGTCAATACACACTAATAATAAGAACAAGAATTAGAGATATTTCTAACTATAAATGTACAAAATAAGTATATTAATTTCTTTTTAAAAAGTTTCATAACAGGAGCAATTTAAGTTTAAATCTTTTTAAGACATACAGATTAACACTTCTAGGATAAAAACAGATTGTAATTTTTCATTTGCAAGGAAGAAAAATATCAAAAACCCTATAGGTTATACAGAAAAGTAGCTAAAGTAAAAGAATAAATAAGTGTAAAACAAGAAAACAGAAGTTAAAACAAGCTATATTAACAAACAATATTAAAAAGTGAATAGGTTAAATGCCACACTTAAAGGTAAAGACTCTCAGATAAAACAAATAAGTAAAAATCAATAATTCAAACATGGTGATTCTAAGAGACAGAAAGGCAAGACTCCGTATCATAGCATCCCTTCTGACACTGAAAACACAGGACACCAAATTAATGAATGTGTGAATCAATCATTTATATCCACTTAAGGAATACTATGTCTAATTATAGAAATCATATTCTCAGAACATTCAGGAATATTAAAAATTCTCATATCTTTTTAATTTTTAAAGCCAGTTATGAGACACAGAATTATACTGACTACATAGAAAATACCTTTGTTCTCAGTTGGGACATCTCAACTTCATCAGTTTGTGAGTCCTTCCTAGATTAATTTATACATTTAATTGATTCCAATAAAAATATCAGTGACATTTTTATGGAGCTTGACAAGTTGATACTAAAGTTACATATAAAAATACACACGTAAGAATAACCACATTGCTGGTGAGAACGTAAAATGGTACAGCCGCTCTGGAAATATTTGGTAGTTTCCTTTTGAAACTAAAAATGGACCTACCGCGTGACCCTGTGGTTGCACTCTTGGGCATATAACATGGAGAAAAGAAGGGACAGGCATGACAAAGTTGCATGGACCCCCACGCAGACTCGCACAGAGACACACATGTATAGCTGGTGACAACTGTCCACACTTTACAGATGCATGGATGTCAAGCTCCCGCCTGCGACCCTGCACTATGGGTTTGCAAGATGTCACCCGTCGGCCGGGTGCGGTGGCTCACGCCTGTAATCCCAGCACTTTGGGAGGCCGAGGTGGGCAGATCACCAGGTCAGGAGATCAAGACCATCCTGGCTAACACGGTGAAACCCCGTCTCTACTAAAAATACAAAAAAAATTAGCCGGGCATGGTGCGGGCGCCTGTAGTCCCAGCTACTCGGGAGGCTGAGGCAGGAGAATGGCGTGAACCCGGGAGGCGGAGCTTGCAAGGAGCCAAGATCATGACATTGCACTCCAGCCTGGGCGACAGAGCGAGACTCTGTCTCAAAAAAAAGTCACCCTTCATCGGAGGCTGTGAAGGAGGCATGAGACCTTCCTGTGTGTGTGCTTTGCAACTTGCTGAAAATCTGTAATTATTTCAAATAAAAATGTTTTGTGAGAAACACATTCACCCATCCAAACCCAAAGAATGGACTCAGAGACCCAAAGAACAACGGAAGGAAGACCTTTAATGGCGGTCTTGAAGATGGCGTGTCTGGTAGGCAGGCACACCTGCGGCAGCTACAGCAGGTAATTTATCTCCTAGCACGCAAGTCCCTCCTCCAGTTCCCCACTGATCAAGTACTGTGGGGTTACAATCTTCCCGGATGTCGCCTAAGTTCCATATCCCCTTACAGGGTCATACCCCGGTCCCCTTTCCTGCTTAAGTTTTGATTTCCCAATAATGAAACTTTATTCCGTTTTATGGGCTGTCCCCTCCTCTGCATCCTGTTTGCTTATCCTGACTTTTGCTGCACGTGAGCCATGCCGTTTGTCACATGTGCAGACTGGCTACCAGTATTTAGATCTACCATGCCTTGAAAATGGACCATGAAAATGTTTTCCCACATGTTTACAGTCATTTCTCACCCTGACCTAGTAGCAAGACTCTTAACAGATCAGAGGGGCAGCTCCCCTAATCAGGAGTTCCTTGTCGCATAAAAACTATGAAGAAAATTCACCAGTGCCAAGGAGAAGCAGTAAGTGACCGCACGTCTCCACTCAAGCCAGCTCTGGGAATCCAGGAGAGCAAGGAACAGAGGCTGAAGAGGGCGTGGGTGTGAAGCTTCGCAGAAGAGGTGTGAGGTGCTATGGGACCCATGGCCAAGGGACGTCTGCACACCGCCCACTGCGCCCTGACCCTGGGGTGCCGGCGCCCGGCATGACTGCCTGCCCTCTCCCCCGTGCCCTGGCCACAGCCAGCCCTCCCTCCCTCGTGATGCCCAGGCACAAACCAGGCAAACTTAAAAGTGTTGGGGGAGGGTATCGGTTCAGCAAATCATTAATGCCTGGTTTGTTTCTTTTTTTGTTTTTGGTTTTTTTGTTGTTGTTTTTTTGTTTTGAGATGGAGTCTTGCTCTATCGCCCAGGCTGGAGTGCAATGGTGCAATCTCGGCTCACTGCAACCTCCGCCTCCCAGGTTCAAGTGATTCTCCTGCCTCAGCTCCCAAGCAGCTGCGACTACAGGTGCGTGCCACCACACCCGGCTAATTTTTGTATTTTTACTGGAGACAAGGTTTCACCATATTGGCCAGGCTGGTCTCTAACTCCTGACCTCGTGACCCACCCTCCTCAGCCTCCCAAAGTGCTGGGATTACAGGCGTGAGCCATCGCGCCCGGCTGCCTGGTTTGTTTTATTCATGACTCATAAGGGTCCCTCAGGGGCCACCAGTTTCAGTTGAAGATGTCATTTTGCTTTGTTGAGTTTGGTTTTGTTTCCCACTGAGCCTAATGCACACAAATGGAGCCAGGCTAATGGAGAGGAAGGAGAGCTTTTTCCAAACCAATAGAGAAAGGCCCACAGGAAATGTTTAGCAGATGTGGCAAACCCAGACAGTTATGAAATCATTGTTCATTCATAACTTTACGTAAGTCTGAGCATGCAGACAGTTGCTTTGCTTTATTTTGGTTTTACTTTCTGTTTTCTTGCTTGAGAAGAACCCTAGAGCTTCAGGTAAACTCAACCCCCTCTTCGCAGAAATGTCACTCATGCTCATCACAGATGACGCAGATGCCGAGGAAGCCACAGAGAGCAATTGGGCACAGGCGGTAAGTACCAGATTGTCTTGGGGTACTTACCAAAGTCGTGTCCCCGAAAAAGACGACTCCAAGTCCTAAGCCCTGGAAACTGAATGTAGACTTATTTGGAAAAGGGGTCTTTGTGGCTGTAATTACAGTAAGATGAGTCGTACTCGACAAGGGTGGACCCTAAATCCAATGGCCAGTGTCCTTTGGACAAAGAATGGTCGCTGAAGATGGAGGTGGAGGCTGGAGTGACGTGGCCACTGCCCAGGAGCACCGGGGGCACGGGACGCTGGAACAGGCAGGAAGGCTCCTCCCTGAGAGACATCCAAGAGGGGATGATGGCCCTGCACACGCCTTAGTATTGGCTTCCCACCCCCAGAGCTGCAAGGGAATCAGTGCCTGCTGTTTTAAGTCAACTAGTCTGTGGCACTTGCTTGGGGCAGCTCCAAGGAACCCACGGCTGCGGGTTAAGGAATGTGCATGCTCAGAGCAGAGAGAGGGGCCAGGGCTAGGGGAGGCAGGGGTCCCTCCCCAAGATGCTTGGACTGAGTCTTGCCTGTGCCTCTGGAAATATTTTCCATTTAAAGGGAAATATTTTCTACTGACCAGGTTCAAAACTGGCCTGCGGGAGCATGGGAGTCTTTTCCTGCATGGGGCCTGCAGAAGGAAATGCAGCCCGCAGCTCAGCACGGCCTCCAGACGGCCCTAGTCTCTGCGTTTCCTCAGAAACTCCTTGCGGGAAGAACACACATGTTCCAGGCCAGATGCTCTTCCCCACGTCTATGGACAGAGCACTGATCCCAGTGAGGAACGTCCACACACCACACAGCAAAACCCTTCTCACCGTGAGAAATTGACAGTTGCCTGAGAAAGACACTGTCGTGTAGGAAACAAAGCCTTCATCTCAGATTTTAGAGAAATCCCCGCAAAGAAATGACAAAAGCAGAGTGGCTTCAGCGTTCTCCGTAGACACAGATGTTCACCTCCACTGTGGGCATCTTCAGGCAGGAGCTTTGCCTCACCCCTTCTCTCGTGTGCCTTCCAGGACTCAGCCCCCTCGTGCCTCCCGGAATGCAGGGGTGCCATTGGAAAGATGGAAAGTCTAAGGAGGGTACAAGTCACAGCTGCTCTGGTCCTCAGAGCTTCCCTGCACTGGGCGTGTTGAATGCACACTCTCTACCCCATAACATACCATCAGATGCGGGAATATGAATGAGATCATCCCAGACTCCATGGGGATCACAGAGCTTGGGAAAGGAATGTCAACACTGGAAGGCAGGTCTGAGTCCAAGTCTGTGTCCTCAGCCTAAAATCTTCAGATTTAGTAAATAAAAACATGGGTTGCCTGGTTAAATTTTTACATAAGCAAAGAATAGTTTTTAGCATAAAATGCTGCATGCAATATTCAGTGTCCTGTATTTCGTCTGGCAGCCTCACCTCTCCGGCACAGCTATGGGAAGATGCTTTTGTCCGCCCAGCCAGGGCCAGGATGACACCAGGGACGCTCAAACGTCTACAGCCAATTTGGTGACCCCCTTTAATTTTTGGAAATGCCACTGCTGGCCCCTCACAGTGGAAATTCTTCATGTGCAACCAGCTCATAAATATAGTGTGTTGGAGGCACCTGGATGGTTAGGACTCAGGACAATATTCTCCCCAAATATTTTCTCAACATCCATCTTCCTGGTGGCAATTAGTGTCTGAGATTCTCTTTAACTTTTCCTTGCCGGGGTGACTGCAGTCAGCCGTCAAGGCAAGAAAAGGGAAGTCTGAAAAAGTGTAAAACTGATCATCAAAACACAAAACTTTACGTGTTTTTCTCTGAAAGCGCATGAAACTGGCTGCTTAGCTTCCAAATGGAAACCCCACACTGCATGTTCTCCGAGGCTTTTCTGCTTTCTTTTGACATTTTGACACTGAGCTCTGAAATAATAGTGTTAACTGTTGATCTTTTTTTCCTTTGGAAATTGGCTTTTGACACTAGACAGCTGGAAAATCTGAAAGGTTAGCGCACATCTGGTGCGTCTACCTCAATATAAATGCCAATGTTCCATCAAAGCTTTTCACAGATCAATGAAATAATGATCACAGGTGCCAAGACACAGGGATTCACTAAGATGGACAGCCACACAGAATTATGACAAGGTTGGTGGTTGTTTTTGTTTTGCTTTTCGTGTTTTGTCTCTATTATTCATGGAGATTTGTCCCTAGAAACACCAGAGAGAGCCTACAGTGCCAACAGCACAGCTCTCTGGCAGGGCCCCAAGAGCCGCGGGAGGGCAGGGCAGGTTCCTGGCATGCCTGAGATGACTTAGCACACTGTGAACCAGGGCTTGTGAACAGGGAAGTGTTACTCAAGATTGAGCTTGACTTTACAAAAGCAAGCTTGTTCCCCTGGAAGGCTTTCCAATTTTGATAAACTGTACTGTGCATTCATGCCTGTTCATTTGAGTGACTGCAGATCTTAAAAGAATCGTTTTCGGAAGACAAAAATGCATGTAAAATAAGGCTGGGCGATGTGAGAGGTGACACTGTAACATTGGGAGCTGGTCCTGCTCTGGCAACAGGCAATAGCTTCCTCAGTCTCCTGCAGAGCCAAGCAAGGAATGGTTTTGCTGGGGAGTTCTGCAAAATTTAATGAGAGAGGCAGGTGTGAGGCCACGTCACAGCAAGGGAACCTGCAGTTCACTTCAAATTTGGGGAAGAGTTTTGAAGCCTTGACAACAAACCACCTCTTTTTCAACATCCTTCTTCCTCTTCCTCTCTTCAGCAGCAAAGCTTCTTATTCCTACAATACAGGGTAGAGAGAGACAACTGTTTGAACTTTCAAATTGTACACTGGAAGACGAGCACCATGTTTGCAATTGATTCTGCCTCCTTCCAGCTTAGAGCCTTCAGTAGCAGACACGAGCAATTTCCTACCCTGCTGAGCTCCATGGGCTCCCAATGGATCCTTCAAAGCTGAGCTCCTGGTAACCTCACAGAGAATCGCTGTGTGGGAAACCAGAGCAGGAGGCTGGAGGCAGGTAAGAGCCGGGCCATCCACATGGTAACATGGAAACTGGGTTGTTTTTCCAGGGCTTGGACCAGGCTTGGGCGTGTGGCTGCTGCACGTGAGAAATGTCCCTTCTCCCACACACGCCAGTAGCCACACCACTCTCTGAATAGGAACACCTGCTCTATGTACCCAGCCCAATGTATTACAATATTTATTAGGCCCTCATGCTGTGGCTAGGTAAAGTGAAGTGACATACATTTTATGAAATTTGTGTCCCCATGTCTGTACCTTCATTCTGACGTCACTGCTCTTGCCAAGAACAGATCAAAACCGTTGCATGTTTGGGTTTGTTACTCCCTTGTTCTTCCCACTGTGCTGGCAAGAGGGCGCGGGCGATAAATGAGGTCAGGAACACCTGCTCCATTGCAACTGCTTCTGGACAGACCAGACCTCAGGCCACATGCTCACCAGTGCTGGGGTTGAGCCCTATTCTGTGACCCCACCACAATGAATATTGAGGCAGAAATCGTGAATATGACAAGGTCCTGCCCTCATACTCCTTAAGAAAAAGGAAAATATTTTAAATGAAATCATCTTCATTGTTACATTTACAAATGAGGGATAAAAACCAAACACATAGAAAAGTATTTTAAAAATTCCTGTGTACCCCCAGCGACATGTACTGTGACACCGTGAGCATTTTGGCGTCTATCCATCCAGATACGTTCCTACCTGCATGCAATGGCAGGAAAGATCCAGATACAGATTTCCATGCCCAAACACCCTACACCCAGTTGATGTCCCAGACCTGCTATCCCATAACCGACTCTTCCCTTAACAGCATACCTTACATGTCCTCTTAGTCAACGGACACACATCAGCTTCGTCTTCAGTGTCTGTCCAGTATTCGTGCCATGCCACTCCATAATTTCTTCACAAAAATCTCCCATTTCAGGCAATTTATGTTTATTGTTAAGCCAGTCACATTTAGCAGTGTGGGGTCGTGTACCAACTTTAGTGACACCAATGTTAATCAGTTCTGATAACCACTACATTGGACAAGCCAGGATTTTTTTTTTTAATTCCTACTTGTTTCAAACAACAGTACGTGTTTACAAGAAGGCTTTTGTAATTCTATATTTGCAAAAAGTGTGTATGTGTCTGGTTCTTTTCTGCGGATACATTTCTGGAAGTGCAATCTCTGGGTTGGCATTTTGTACACTTTAAACCTTTCTCGTATGTGCCCCCAAATCGTCCTCCAGAAAGTTGGCACTGGAGCACACCACCCACAGCGGGGTATGAGGCCTGAGACGAAAGTGAATCCTGTGTCTTCTTCAGAGACACAGAAGCTGCTGATTTCTTCCTGTTCTGGAGACTGACACTTAAATGTGTCTCAGAAGTGGTTTGGGGCAAAGTAGGGGCAAAAATTTTCATGTGGAGGCAACAAATTTAAATAACCAAACACAATGAACCAAAATTATCGATTCTCTGAGTCATTTTATAACTGAATAGTCAATTCTCTGAGTCGTTTTATAACACCTGGGACAGCGTCGTGGAGACTGAACACGTGAGTTCTCTGAGTTGCTTTATACCACCTGGGAGAGTGTGGTGGAGATTGAACACATCAATTCTCTGAGTCGTTTTATAATGCCTGAAAGAGCATCATCGAGACTGAACACGCGGTGAATTGCAGCCACTACTCAACATCATGCTTTTCACGTCTAGTCTGGATGGAACATTCTAGAAGGGCTCTAGGAGACACGTGGATCCTGGAGTAAGTTGGGTAAAGAAACATGTTAAAGGAAGGTAGCTCTTATTTTACCAGAGCCTGTCCTTTGGTTTTTGTTAAATCCAGAGTATCTTAAAATTTAAGAATTACATTTTCAGGTAGAAGCTTCAATACTGTTTATTTGAATAAAATATAAATAATTTATATTAACAAGGCTGCTTAAAGTTTATTGAATTCTCAATTTTTTATGACCTTATCATCTCCTTATGAAATAACTGTTACTGAACAAGAATTAAGTCTTATTGTTAGTGATCAAGTTTCCCCCCAATCCCCTCTTGCAAATAGAGCTTTATACCTTAATGCATTGACCATGGTCAGGCTTTGAGGATCAAGGGCCATATTTCCTAGCCCTAATAGTTCCACTTATTACTTTCACAAATAATAGACAGTTATTCTTGTTTTCCTTCTAGAAACATTGAATTTTTTTCCTCTGCTTTGCATCATTTGAGATAGGTCCTTAAGAAGCAGCTAAGACCTGGAACTCTAGCACGGTGGAAAGCTGAGGCAGGAGGATATCTTGAGTTCAGGAATTTGAGACCAGCCTGGGCAACACAGTGAGACCCCATCTCTGCAAAAAAAACAAAAAATTAGCCAGGCGTGGTGGCATGCACCTGTAGTCCCAGCTACTCAGGAGGCTGGCTGGAAGGATCACATGAGGCTGGGAGATTGAGGCTGCAGTGAGCTGCAATCACACCACTGTACTCCAGCCCTCCAGCCTGGGTGACAGAGCAGGATCCTGTTAAAAAAAAAAAAAAAAAGGAAAAGAAAAGAAAAGAAACAGCCCCCGAAAGTTGTTGATTGCTTTTTATTTTATAGTAGCAACTCCAATTTTATTTTCCTCTGGCAGTAAAGTATTATTAAAAGTTGTTCGATTTGATTTTTTGCACATCTAAATGTTTCTACAAATGGTCATTTAAGATCTCTGTTTAGTGTACTGTCTTCCAAAAAATTTCAAACTGAAAAACTAAAACAGGCTACTCAGAAAGCTGTATGTGTTTTCACGTATTTCTTTTTTACAATAGGACCATAGCTTCAGAGTTGAAGAGGTAATGCATATTTTTTGTTAATCTATTCATTGGCCTCAAGAACCGAAGCTTAGAAATATTTGTAAGTATGGTGTCACTCCAATGCTTCCACGAAGAGCTAGGATCTTGAACTGTGAAGAGGAGAAACAATGTAGCCAGCAGAGAACCAGTGCATGTGTCTCTATGTGTTTTCACACCAGACGGAGGGTTGGGAGACCCCACAACAGAAGTGCAGATTAACCACACTGATTTGTTTTGCTCTCATGGAGAGTCATAGAAAACACATTGTTGATTAATGTTATGATGCGTTTAAGAGAGGAAACTTTACACCCGGGAGATGCGAGTAGCTTTCTTAAGAAGTAATTAACAACTTCATGGAGCTCCTACTGCACCCATCATAAGCTTATCTGTTTGTTTTAGTAACTCTGTTTTTCACTCATGTTTCTAACTTTTGAAGAACTCCCTCTTCTCTGAGTCTCCTGTGAGTCGCCTTTTTCTCTAAGTCAGAAAATGACGTAGTGTGTTCCTCTGAATAACATTGCTACCTTCTATCACTGGAGCTCTCAATCTCTTGGTTGTGGACAGCTGAGCCCCTTGGCAGCAATTGTTTTAACGTCATGAAATGAAGTAATGCAGAAAACTGATAATAAGTGAATATCTCTCTGCTTCTGCATTCAAATGGGTACTCAGCACCGGAACACATATGCACCATCATCCACATCCTCCACCCCCGAAAATGGCAAAGTGAGTGAACCTGCGGACCGGGAGAGCGTCACAGCCGCCTTCCCACTACTCTTAGGTATTTCATGTATTTGAAGGCCTGAACTGTCTTTCCAAACCCTAGTTGGAAATGAGGAGAAATGTTTGCAAGTTATTGAAGGGATAAAGAATGAGAAAGGTGGGTGGGAGGAGAAGAAAGAAGAAAAAAGAAGGAAGAGGAGGAGGAAGAGAAGCAGGAGGATAGGGTGGATGGGGGAGGAGAGGGTGGAGGGGGGAGGAGAGGGTGGAGGGGGGAGGAGAGGGTGGAGGGGGGAGGAAGGGGGAGGAGGAGGGAGGGAGAGAGAGATAGAGAGAGGGCTTGGGCAGCGGAAGAGAGGAGAGTGGGAGGAAGGACACAAAACAGAATGTTTTAATGAAATAGCAACAAATTTTACACAGACCACTTGCATAGGAAATATTTCTTTTCTTCCAAAAATTACCCGATGGAACCCTAATTTCCTAATTCTTCAACAGCTAAAAGCAACCTTGAGTGTACACATAAGGGCTCCTTATTAAACTGCGAGTATTGCGGGGAAAGAACAGCAACGCATTTCTAAACCGGCAGAGGGTTTTGAGCGACAGTCTCCGTCGTAACATTTCCTGACTTTTGGAGGAGGAAATGTGCCTGTCAACGGGATGAAATCCGTGTTCTCCCCAGCAGGGTCTCCGGGCAGCCCGCAGCCTCCCCTACAAGACGCTGATTTTTCAAGTGTTAGGGAAATTGATATCAGTTGGTTTTATGTTCAGTGTTAATCCTGCCTCTTTCAGGGATTATCTGTAATCCTATTAATTTCATACAGCAATCCTTTTGGGAGGAAGTGGAACTAGACTGAAAAGTTTAGCTTGATAATATTTTCAACCTTGTCGCTGATCTCAGGCAGCGATTAAAACCAGCCTCTACCAGGCAGGGATTCGAGCTTCTCCTGGCGTTCCACGCATCATCAGATTCTTGGTTCAGGTCCCGTTGCAGTCAAGCAGGGGCAAATAAATGTCAGGAAATTAAGAATTAAGGCAACCTGCATGTCGATGCGAGCCAGGTGGGAACCCATCTTTAATTATGGTTTACATGAATTAGACCTAAAGAGACCAAGTCACTGTGATATTTACGCCCTCCCAAGAGACTCCATGCAAATGAAGACGAGGGGAAGGAGGAGAGGAAAGCGGTCCGTGGACGCAGGATCTTTGGGTGTGGGGCAGAGCACGGCCCCGGGCCCCTGGTGTGGGGGTCCTGAGTGCAGGTCCCGTTGCACCATCGCGCAGCGGGGCCCCTGAGTGGGCTCCTGACCCCTTGTGGTATCCGCATCCTTAGGAGAATGTCCCCCAGCTTCACCTTCCAGCCCGGCCGGGGGCCCCAGCTCTGCCCAGGCCTCTCCCCGGGGCCCTCTGGCCTCTCCACTGGTCTCCAGAACTGCCTTCCGGGCCTTGACCACGCCCTGACCCCAAACACACATTGGGTTTCTCCAGGTCCGTCAGCCTCGGGTGGGAGCCACCTCCAGTCCGCTCCAGTCCCCCAGCATGGAGGAACCCTGGTCCCGACCGGCGAACTCATAGCGGGGCCCCAAGGCCCTGGGTGCTGTGCGGTCAGTCCCGCCCACGCCAGAGTTCCTGCCCTCGCCCTGCCGTGTGCTTCCCAACCAAAATTCCCCCAAATCCGTGACCCATAGACGTGGCCTTTGCAGCCGTTTCCTCCCAGACCCCTTGGGATGTTATTTCCAAAGCAAGCACTGTGGAAGGAGCTCGATGGGGCCTCCCCAGGTCCCGCCAGGCTGCTCCATCTGCACGCACCGAGCGTAACTCGCGCGTCCTGAGCCCGAACCCCATTGAGCACAGGCCCAGGTGCTCCGGGATGACCGGCCCACGGAGGACGAGGGCCTCAAAGACGGTGTTCTCACTGGACAGGGGTCCTGAGAGGGCCACACATGCTGCACACACGTACACACTACACACATACACACTGTACACAACTGCACACATGCACACACACTGTACACACACACTACACACACGGCACCAGCTGCACACATGTACATACTACACACACTGCACACACGCACACACACTGTACACACATGCACACAAACACACACCATACACACACGGCATACACACGCAAACACACACAGCACACATGCAGACACACTATACACACACCACACAGATACACAGCACATGCTGCACACATGTACACACTACACGCTGTACATACACTGCATACAGACACAGACATACACTGTACACACTGCACACACACAGACACACACCATAACATGCTGGCTGCTATACACACTACAAACAAACACACTCACACTATGCACCCACACATGCGCGTGTTATGCAGGTGGAGTGGCCTGGGCCAGGCCTTACAGGCTCCGTGGGACCTCTTTCAACAGTGCTTGCATCGGAAATAACATGTTACACCATACACAGACACACTCGCACACACTACACACTCACTGTAACCCTCACACACTCCCAAACAGTACACATGGAGACACACTCACAGATACCACACACATTGTATGCATTCACACACTGTACAGAGACACATACCGTACACACACACCCCTCACACCTACACCTGCACACCATACAAACACACACATAGTATACACAGTCACACACACACACTATACACAGACATACCAGACACACTCACACTATACACATGCACACACAGCACACACTACTTGCACAAATATACACACAGATACACACACTATACATAGACACACAAGATAAACATACACACCTCACATACTATACACATGCACACATGCACACACACCATACACAGACATACTCACACTACACATACTCAGTATACACCCTCACACACATAGACGGCATACATGGACACACACACTGCACATGCTACACACAGACACACACACTACACATACAGAGGCACACACACTACACATGCTATACACAGTCACACACTCATACACAGTATGCACACCATACAGAGACACACTATACACACACAAAGACACACACACCCACAACACACACTCACACACCTCACATCTATAGACATGTGCACACACATACACTCACAAATACTATACACAAACACACACTACACTTACACATACTACACACACACTATATACACTCACACACTATACAGAGACACACACTACACACACTGTACATACACAGATACACATATATACACATTATATACACACTGTTTTGAACACACAGAGACACACACACTAAACACACAGAAAGACATAGACACATGTACATATATGAACAGAGACACACAAAGACACACTCACACACTATACAAACACAGAAACACAGGGACTCCCATTCACACACCGTGCATGCTACATACACACCCATACACACAGACATAGACGCACACGCTATCACACTATCCACAGAGACACACTACACACACACAGACACATGCACCACACACATTAACATTCTACACACACCCCACAAACACACACGCAGACACACATGCCACAAAGTCCCCTGCACAGCAGGCCCTCAGCACACAAAGGTCTTGTTCCCCTCGCACTCATGGAGACCTGCAAGCGAGCGGGCTGTGCTAGTTCTGAGAGGCAGCAGACAGTCTGTGACCGGGTTTTCACTGGTCTGCAGCAAAATAAGAAACATAAGAACAAAAATCTTTAAATGTTGGGTCTTTCTTCAAAAGATGGTGATAATAGATCACATTCTGTGTTTTGAGTGTGTATCAACTGTTTCCAATTAAACAGATTTTAAAAGTTGATGAATTTATATCAATCTTTTAATTTTACTTCTTCATGAAATTCCAACAACTGAGGAATACGGATGAGGACTCCTAAATTCTCTGTTCTTCAATAATATTTTATCTCCTCAGGCTCCTTTGGAAGCTGTTTTTACTATTTCAGGAAACTTAAATTACACCAGAAACTTTGCAGTTCACTTAATTTAAAACAAGAAAGACTGTACTTGTTTACATTACCAGTACTTCTCTCTCACCAGAATATGAAAACTTTGAAAATACCCTTTGAAATTACATGAATATTTATGGAGATATGTTCTTAAAACTCCACTTGCAAATGAAGATACAGAATGAGTCACCAATCAATAAACAATATTTATTGACTACTATTAGTCCTATACTCTGTATTAAATAATAACATGAAAGAAAAGATTGGAGAAGAATAGATAGAAATGGAATATTGTTTGATGTGTCTTGATATCATGTGAACTTAATTCTTTACAGAACTTCTCATATGATTACAATTCTAGTAATATTTTTTAAATATCTATCTGCTGGGAACTATTTAAATATATATTGTTTCTAATGTTCTCAGGGATTGAGTAGAAAAACAAATAAACATGTGGCTGTCACCAACAAGTGCATATTTCAAGAAACAATCAGATCACTGTTCAAATTCCCTGAGAACTGAAGTCAGCTCTACAGAACTAACCAGGCTCTTACCCTCCCATGTGTCACAATTAGCCCCAGGAGCTAGTCTGCTAGGAAACCCATAAGTCATTTCTGGACCCTCGGAGTTGCTGGTCTGTCTCCACCATCTACCTTGCAAAAAGAATTATTTACTGGATGTAAATAGTGCCTAAAGGTGTCATTTGACTACTGCACTGTCAAGCTGAATTATTCATTTCTATTTGTGAGAAACACCAAAAATATAGTGAACAGATGTTGTTTGCAGGGGACAAAAGAAAGCGGGAAAATATAGGAGGAAAGGTAAGCTACTTAACATACTGACAAAGCTGTTATATTTTCTCCTTCTTTTCCATTTGTGAGGAATAAAGCTCCTTTGACTAATCAAAAATTATGGAGCATTATCACACATGCAGATGGATGGCAGTTTCTCTAAGTAATATAATATCATAGATGTAAATGTGTGGCAATGTAGACATAAAGCTATATTTGCTCAGAGCTGTAATACCAGTGGTGTAAACTACTGACTGTAACCTCAACCTCTGGGATTCACGAGTGTAAGCATGTAGCGAACGCAACAGAGGCAACATTTTCATTGAGATGTAGTTTAGAAAGTGGCAGATACTAGCGTTTCATTGGTAAAACTCCCACTGGTAGCAGATATAACATTAGTACGGAGCTAGCCTCAATAGACCACAAGCATCTAAATTAAATTCTGTTGGGTACTGAGACTTTCAGAAAAGTCTAGTTGCCTATAGGCTGCCGAACTCTACAGTTCAGAGCTGCAACTAGTGAATGTCAGATGGCAGGTGATACTGCCCGGTAGGAAGTAAAGTTAGTGCATATGGTCACATCAATTGATGCAGAAAAAACGTACAGCGAATGTCAATGCACATTCAAGATAAAAACTCTTAGAAAACTAGGAATAGAGGGAGCTCCTCTAACTTAATAGAAAATATCTACCCAAATCTCCTACAGTTGACATGACTCCTAATGGTGAGGACTGGATGCTTTCTTCTAAGGCTGAGAACAAATCAAGCATGTCCCCCAGCACTCCCATTCAGGATCGTAGTAGAAGGCCTAACTAGTGCAAAAAAAGACAAGAAAAAAAATAAAAGGCATAGATTTGAAATGAAAAATCAAACTCTCTTTATTCACAGATGGCATTGGTGTTTATGTATTAATAGATAATCCCAAATAATTAAAAAATAATAAGCAATAATAGTGCAGTCACAAAATGCAAGGTTAAAATACAAAAGTTCATTTTCTCATATATATCAGCAAAAGACAATTGGGAATTGAAACTATAAAAACAATACCATTCATAATAGCACAAAAAATAACATACAAAATATATGCAGCATCTGTGTTTTAGGAAAACACAATAATGAAAGAAATAAAATATTTAAATAAGTATAGAGACATTCTCTGTCCTTGCATTGGAAAACTCAATATTGTCAAGGTGTGAATTCTCAAGTTGATCTATGGATCTAACACAATCCCAATCAGAATCTCGGAAAGCTATTTTGCCAATATTAGCAACTGATAGCTGAAGTTTAAATGGAAAGGCAAAAGACCAAGGCTAGACTACAGAATATTAAAGATGAAAGAGTTGGATGACTCTCACTACCTTACTCTAAAGCTACAGAAATCAAGCCAGTGAGGTATTGGCCACAGAAAAGACATAGATCCATGGAACAAAACAGACACAGCAGAAGGAAGCATACACAAAGACAGTCAACTGACTTTTGACAAAGGCACAAAGGCAATTCCATTTTGGACATCCATATGCAAAAAAAAGGAAATGAACCTAGACCCAGAACTTCCACCTTACATTAAAATTAACTCAAAATGAGGCCAGGCCTGGTGGCTCATGCCTGTAATCCCAGCACTTTGGGAGACCAAGACAAGTGGATCACTTGAGGTCAGGAGTTTGAGACGAGCCTGAACAACATGGTGAAACCCCATCTCTACTAAAAATACAAAATTAGCTGGGCATGGTGGCACATGCCTGTAATCCCAGCTACTCAGGAGGCTGAGGCAGGAGAATTGCTTGAACCCAGGAGGCAGAGGTTGCAGTGAGTCAGATCGTGCCATTGCACTCCAGCCTGGCCAACAAGAGCGAAACTCCATCTCAATAAATAAATTAATTAATTTAATTTAATTAACTCAAAACGTAAAATGAACAATTATAAAACTTCTGGAAGAAAACATAGCAAAAGTGTACACGACCTTAGGGTTGGTGATGAGTTTTCAGGAAGGTACACTATCCATGAAAAAAAATTGTTAAACTACACTTTATTAACATTTAAAATTTCTACTATATGAAAGAGATTACTATGCAGATATATTGTTAAGAGAAAAAAACAACAAAAACAAGAAGAAAATATTTGCAAAACACCTATGTGGTAGAGGACTTGTATCCAAAATATGCAAACAACTCATAAAACTAAACACTTTTAAAAAATCTAATTTAAAAACCAACAAAAGATCCAGCCAGATACTTCACCAAAGAAAATACACAGAAAGCAAGTAGATATGAAAAGATGCTCAACATCATTTTCCATTTGTGGGAATTAAAACAAGAGACATTACTACATGCCTATTAAAATGTCTAAAACTGAAAAAATTGACAAGAATATGGAACGCTGGTGACCCACATGGGTGGGAAAGCAAGATGGCACGGCCACTTTGGAGGACAGCTTGGCGATTTCTTACAAAGCCAAACACAGTCTTAGCCTGTGATCCAGCAACTGCACTCCTTGGCATTCAGTCACCTGATTTGAAAACCTATGTGTACACAAAGCCTGCAGAAGGATGTTTGGAGCTGCTGTTAAAATAATTGTCAGGAATGGAAAACAACCAAACTGTCCTTCCCCACGTGAAGGGACAGACAAACCATGGCGTATCTGTACAATGGAATATTATTCAGTCATAAATGCTCTGTAATTAGTTAGCAATGATAGTTGCACATGTACTAAAAACTACTGAATTGTACTTTAAATTGAACACTTTTACAGTAGGTTTTTTACATCTCCTTTTTTTAAAAAAATAGAATGTGATATTAAGCCACCAAAGACATAGATGAATCTTAAATGCATATTGCTAAGTGAAACAAGCCAGTGTGAACAGCCAACACACAATATGATTCCATTTGTGTGGCATTCTGGAAAAGAGAAAATGATAGAGACAGTGAACAAACCAGTGGTTGTAGGGGGAGAGGGCTCGGTGAAGCACAGCTGATATTTCAGGGTGATGAAACTATTCAGTACACTTCTATAATGGTGAATACATGATATGTTGTGTTTGTCAAAACCCATTAAACTTTATAGCACAAAGAATAAACCCAAGTGTATGCAAAGTTTTTAAAAAATCATTTGGAAGCCAGACATAGAAAAATAAATATCTCATGTTCTCGCCCATATGGGGGAGCTAGAAACGTGGATCTCATGGACATAGAGAGTAGAATGATGGTGCAGGGGCTGAGAAGTGGAGAAGAGAGATAGAGAATGGTTAGTTAATGGAAACATACACTTAGGTAAAAATAATAAGTTTCAGTATTCAATAGTACAGTAGAGAAATTACAGTTAACAATAATTTATTGTATATTTCAAAATAACTAGAAAAGAAAAACTGTAATTTTCCCAACACAAACGAAAGATAAACAAGGTGATGAATATCCCAATTGCCATGATTTAAACAGTACACATTGTACACAAGGATAAAAACATCAGCCGTATGCCAAAATATGCAAAATCTGCACAACTACAACACATCAGTGAAAATCTGCATAACTACAACACATCAGTGAAAATATTTTAAACATCATTTGGGAGGTGGGGAGATTCCAGCATGGAATGCAGCCTGTGACAAAAGAATTGTGATTGTATCCCAGGGTGTGAAGCAGCCTCCCTGCAGGGGCGAGTGGGTGCAGCATGCTGAATAAGTGACTTTGGAAACAGGTGGGATCCATGAGGCACAAAGACCGGGCCTAAGAACTGTTCTCTGGCTGATAATGTTGTTTCCAGGGGAGGTGTGGACTAAGAACTCTGAAACCACGCTACACACGCAGAGGAACCAAGCAGCTAAGTGCATGGACAGTGATGGTGGGTGTTAGCATCTTCCAGACAGAGTGGGAGGTTATAGAGAATTGGGGAGAAAGGGCTGGAATGAGCCATGCAGAGCTGAATGAAAGCCAGTGGCATCACTACAATCATGGGGCGTAACACGCACACACACAGATGTGCTGCCACATACCTGTGCACGCGCCTGGAGGCAACCACCCAGCAGGAACATCGCACCCCACCCCTGTGCCTCGGGGTTCCATGGGCTACATTTATCAGGCTGAGGAATGCCTCCTGCTGTTTGATGAAAGACTTTATCAGGAGTGGATTTGGGATTTGTCAAGTGAGACTGAAGCAAGAGCCATCTTAGAAGCCTAACAGATGGCCCCTGAGTAAGAAGGGCATTCTTGGGCTTTTCGCGACGGGCATGTTTCCAGCCCTTGTGACACGGGGTGCTGCTCCCACTCATCCTTTTGGGGGGCTCCTCCTCTGGCCCCGGGCATGGTCCCTGCAGGACCGACCTGCTGAACTGCACTCGACTTAACTCAAGATCTGCAGGTCTCTGGCGAATTGTCTCTGAAGATCTCTTCTCTCCAGCTCTCTGCCCTGGGGACTCTAACTCTCTTGTCTAACTGGATGCCCAGCTCTGATTCCCCCATTCAGGGGGACCACCAGGCTCTCCCTGGGTCCCGCACTGTGTCGTGCCTGGGAGACTCTCCCAGTGATGTTAGGAGAGTCTGGATGCTGTTTAATCCCCAGCATGCCTCTCCCGCCTCCTGTCTTTAATGGATTGCTCTTTTGTTGCCTGAGGTCCGATGTCTGGAGTGCCACTTTTTCATGCATTTCATCTATTTTTTTAGTTGTTTCAAACAGAAGGGTACCTAAGGTTCCTATGACTCTATCTTGACCAAAAGCAGAAAAGTCTGTTCAAGGTATTTATTTTTCAGGTAAGAAAGACTTGTTGATATTTAAATGCTGGTGGGGGAAAAAAACCACAGAGAGGAAAAAGTAAAGACAAAGCAGGCAAGAGGCGGAGAAGGCTCACGATGGCTTTAAGAACCTGCTGAACTCGGCGGCTGTGACTTTAGCATCAGTCTCCATTTACCTGATGTTCTTGGAAGCTCTCGGCAGCCCAGGCTGATCTGGGATTGGGTCTTATCAGGAGTTGCCTCCATTTGCAAGAACGTGGTGAAATTGACAGAAGACACAGTTACGTCATGGTTTGGGGGGAACTGCTAGCAACGAGCCATCAATATTTAAGGAGAAAGTAACAGAATCCAGGGAATGGGAGCCCCAGGAAAACTGAACAAGTTTGGGGAGAGACCTTATAGTAATGCTTGCTCTCGTTGAAGGAAGCCGTGCTTTTCCCCGATCTGTTCACTGTGCTGTGTGCCTTCCAGGCATTCGCAGTCCCTGGGACCCTGTCCGTGTCCATCTCTAGACTCCGCCTGCAGCTGGGTTTCCTCGTGCCTTCTCAGCTTCCACACATGGAGTCCATGATTCTGACTTCCACACAGGATTCAGCTGAAATCCCGCCTGTTCTTAGACTGTGTTCTCTGTGGGCCCTTTGCTCACTGATCTCGTCCACGTCACACTCTCGTGATTCTGCACTTAATATCCATCTGCCTTGTGTGGAATGCTTCTCTTCTTGGAGGACAGGAAGCGCGTCTCAGCAGTTTTTGATCTGTAGCAACTGGAATAGTGAATTCAATCAGTATTTTTTTGAAGGGTGGATTTTAATTAGCCGGGCATGGTGGCACAAGCCTGTAGTCCCAGCTACATGGGAGGTGGAGGCTGCAGTGAGCTATGATGGCGCCACTGCACTCCAGCCTGGGTGACAAAGTAAGACCCTATCGCCGAGGAAAAAAAGAGTAGATTTAGGTGTATTATTGTATACTACCAGACACTGTCAAGGTTTCACACTTTATTGTGTGGTTCAGTAAGCAACACCATAGAATTTCTCTAATAGGCAACCATTTGACTTTCTAAGTCAAATTTGGTAATAAAAAGAAAAAAACCATTAGAAGCACGTTCCCTGAAAGGTAAGTTGTGCTGTTCTCGGAGACGTGGACCTAGGCATTCCTAGGATGAGTTCTCACACCTGGGACAGGAGTGCTCTGCCCCGGTGCCACCTAGTTCCTGCCTTGGTCAAGACAAAGGGGCCCTCCTCTCCTGGTCTCATAGGGTGACCATATAATTGATCGCCTCAGCCATGATGTTGTTGAGAGTGAAAGGGGCTCTATTCATAATTTCGGTAGAACAGCTGGCAGGAAGCAGGATTGATCTGTGCATTCAGGGTATGGAGTACCAGGCTTACAGGGTCTGGGCTGCAACCCCGTCTTAGGAGGGCAGACAGCGAGCCAGGCTGTGGAACAGATGTCAGAAGGGGATGATGGCCCCAGCATGCCATGGTATCAACTACCCCCAGAGCTGAACGGGGCTCTCAGCTGTGGTCACCAGGAACTTCAGTCCCCTCTGCTATTTGTGGACCCCAAGCCCACATCTTTCCTTTCCTAAATAACAGCAGCCTTTATCTAGTGTGCAGAAAGGAAAACATCTTCTTACACTGGGGCCGCGGCCGTTGGACCAAAGTGCCAGGCTCTCCAGCCTTTACTTTCCAGTCCCATGGCGAGGGGTCCATGTTCTCCTCTCTGGGCAGAGAGGGAGTCAGCATTCAAGGAGGGAGAATCATCCTGAGGACAGAGTTTAAAAAGTCGTAAAGCCTTCAGTGTCATAATTCAGAATGTTACTTTGCCACATATCCAAAAACGTTCACTTACATTATTAGATAATGACAAGGAGCATCACATAGCCAGATAGTCCTGTTTAGGACTGGACACACAGGATCCTAAGGATGAGAATAGACGCGTGACGAACAGGACACACAACCCAGGAGCCAAGGAGAACTGCCCGGCTTGGGGATAATTCCTATGTAAATGGTAACATACAAGTTTTCTCCACACTGGGGTCCTCGGCGTCATTTTAATATCTGAGTAAACCTGGATTGTGCCCCATAGGATTTAGCCCAAGATCTGCAGGTGGCACGTCCACTTCCCGGTCAGCTCAGCCCATACACGTGGAAACCACACTTTACGCTCCATGACCCCTGCCCTCCCCACCCTACATCTCCAGTCTTCCCCTATCTATCTGCAGGCGCTGCTGCCCCCGGCCCAGGCCCTTGCCTCCCTCTGAGTGAGCTGGCGTGGCCTTCCAATGAATCTCCTGGCTTCTGCACTGGCTTTCTTCAACCCCATTGCCCAAGAGATTCCAGAGTAATGTTTACTTAAATGCAAATCCAGACTCATCACTCCTCAGCTTTAGACCTTTGAGGGTCCCCTGTGGCTCTTTGAACCCCTCCTGTAGCTGCTTCGTCTTCCAGATCCCAGGTCCAGCCCCCCGTGGCCGCCCTCCCTCCTCCCCAAGTGCAGCTTTGCCAGCCTGCGCCTTCCCTCATCCACTTTCTGGACAATGCTCGCCCACGGTAGGGTGTCCTGTTATCCCCTCCGACCGAGATCTGATGTTCACAGCTCTTAGCACAACCTGTGATTGTTTCACACGTGAGCTGTTTCCTATCCGCCCCCTCGGCCAACAGAAAACCGTGTGACAGCAAGGATGGCACTGCCGTGGCCCACGTGGGTTCCATGTCCTTCATGGTGCCTGGAGTTTGTATGCTGAGATCACTGTAGACACGCATGCAATTGTCAGGAAGAGAGAGATGCCTGGCGTCCTTTACCCAGTTCCGCCACTTGAAAAATGACAGTAAAATCTCAGCACGAGGACAGACACAGACGCATCCCTCACACGAGGGTCCCTCCTGCGGGCCTTTTGTAGCCGCAGCCACTTCCCTCCCACCCCCTCCTCCCCAGCCCCTGGAACCGCCGAATCTGTCCTCCACCCCTGTAGTTCCATCACCCTCAGGAGGGCTGTGTACACCGAGGCCTTGCGGACATGGCTCCCCCGCGGGGGCGTGGCTCCCTGGGGTGAGTGTGGCTCCCTGATAGTGGGCGTGGCTCCTTGGTGGTGGGCGTGGCTCCCTCACGGTGGGTGTGGCTCCGTCGGGTGGGCGTGGCTCCCTCAAGGCAGTTTTGCAGACATGGCTTCCTCCACGCAGCCTGTTTCGTTTGAGTCCATCCTGGTGGCCAGCATGTTGGGTTTGTGCCTTTCATTGCTAAGTGGTGCTCTCTGCTTGGGTGCACTGCAGTTCATCAGACCCTGGAGACAGTCCCACGTGTCCCCCTGGGTGGATTCTGTGGGTTGTCTCTGTTCATTCAGCTTGAGATCTTGGGGCTCTTGGTCTAATGAGCAGCGTGGGTCTGAAGCTCGGACACCATGCTGCTTCTGAGACTCTGGGCCTAACTCAAAACGTTAGTTGTGGTCGGCTTCTCCTGACATTGCTTAGTGGATACCTGGAGACGCTAACTCCAAACTTGTGCCAGGTGGAAGGGAAGTCCAGCCACCACCCAGCCCCATCCCTGCCTGGGGAGCTGTGGTAGTCCCAGCTTCCACTGGGGCACCCACTGACACTACTGGGGGACTCCTTGCCCCTGGGCGGGTGAAAGTCCTGACTAACCTGGCCTCCTCGGAGACTACCCTGCAGGGAGGGGCAGGGACCTTGTTCCTTCCCAGGGGAGTGGACATCAGCTCCCCAGTGACCACGCCAGGCCAGGGTTCATCACAGGCCAGTGGGGGGCCAAATGGCAGCTCCCCACGCGACCTTCTCTGAGACCACCTGGTGGGGGCCGGGTTGCCCCATGACAGCCTGACGAGGGGAAGTCGGGGCCCCAGCCTTTGCTGGTGTGAATGACCCCAGCTGCTCAGGGCATTTGGCTGGGGTGAGGCAGTCACTGTCTGAACGTTTTCTGTATTACTGGGCTGTCCCATTCTAGGTCCTCTGCCTAGAAGGATGAGGCTTCTATTGGGTTGGTTTTTGTTGTTGCTGTTTTGTTTGTGCCTGTAGGTGTTCCCCGGTCACCACTTTCTTCACCTCCCAGTCTGGGATGTATGAGGCCATGGGAAAATGCAGGCAGCCACCGCCCTGGCTTCCCTGGTCCTGAGATCTCCAGACGGCCTCCTAACCACCGTCAGGGCCCTTCAGGTTTAGGCAAGGATCACGTCCAGCGTTTCGGTTGTGCTTGGTGGGAGGGATCAGAAATGTCCCGCTACTCCGTCTTGCCAGGAGCAGAAGTCCCCTGCTCACCAGACTTTATGCTCTTCCAGGGCAGGAATTTTTGTCCCTTTGTTCATTGGTGTATTCCTAGTGCTCAGAACACAAATGAGTCATCAATAAGTATTTGTATCTTTTTTCTCCTATCTGTAACTGTGCTTGCAACTCAAAAGCAGTGAATGTGTGTCATGCTCATTTATCTTCCCTTTTCAATCATTTTCCTTTTTTACAATAAGAAAGTGAAATAGAATATCTTTCACAAAATGTAGAGGGGTTTTTTACTTGTTTTCTAATATGGAAAACTTTTAAATTTCCTAAGAATGTAAGTTGCAATGTTCTATTCCTACATTCTTTTTTAAGCTAATAATTAATTTATTTTCATTTTCTCTGCAGGTAAATGCATCAATATGAATTCATCAAAATGTCTTTGTTCAGTACCTCTCTGCATGCCGCACTATTCACTGCAATATTAATAAAGGTAGAGAGAAGTGGTCCCAAACCTAAAGAAACTTCCAAGGCAAAGCAGCTAACCATGGTCTGTGCCCCTCTCAGTGACCGGCTTTTCTAACAAGCAGCTAACCATGGTCTGTGCCCCTGCTCAGGCACTAGCTTCTCAAACAAAGCTGCACTCAGCCTTTGGTCTCAGATCCCAATTTCATATCCTGAATTATGAGATTCAGTATGAAGACCACTGTCACTTTAGTGCATTTCACTCTGTCCCATGCATTTCACATGACACCTGACACCCAGCAGGACCATGGACCAGCCAGCCTTCCCAGTGTGAGGGAGCCTAGCCTAACAGGGACCACCTGTTCACGGCCACTGAACTCCTGACTTGATGAACGCTGAGGAGGAGCCATCCATGATCAAGTTGAGGAATTTTGGAGCTAGAAGGAATTTTAGAACCTTCTCAGACAGTGATCATGAACCATTCTCAGATCAATGATCATGAAGATCAGAAAGATTCTTTGGATGCTGCAGATCCAGGCAGCTTCTAAATCACAGAGGTCTGCAGCCACCTGTAGGTCACCTTGCTGCACTCACGTGGGCCTGTTTCTCACAGTAATAGTTTAACTGTGTGTGGGCACCTAGTGCTTGTCTTCACTGGCAGGCTCAGCTGGACTCCTCTCCTGTAAACATGCTTCAGTGACACCACACAGATGCAAGGCTCATATGTTTCATCACAACATGTGAATCACGTGGTCCTCTCAAATCCATTATGGGAGCGATCCCACCAGCCTGGACTTTAGCATGTCCTTATCACAGTTGTGAACATGCAGACTGTATGGAGCCAAATGCTTCTGCCTGTTTTCAGATTGGCTGCAACCTTTGGATGGGGCTGCTCTGTAAAGCCCAGCTCCCGGGGGTGTGAACCTGACCACACCCTGGCCATGCAGCTCCCCCTGGCCATGCAGCTCCCCCTGGCCATGCAGCTCCCCCTGGCCATGCAGCTGTGCTTTGACTTTTCCCAGCAAACATGATGCATCATTTTTTTTTCCTAATGAAACAACACCTGGACCCTTCCACAAGCAGCCACCCGCTTTCCCGCAGGAGCCGTGCTGGATGTATGTTGTGTCCTGCTGCTGAGGATGCATTTAAACTCTCACCACTTGGCTTGTTTCAGTCTCTGCTGTGGTTCAGTTTGTCAGAAACAAAAGTAGAAATAGACGTGCAAAAGGAAGACTGTTTTGAACGACATCTTGAGAATGGTTTGCGGTATCCGTGACTCGGGCATTATTTGTGGTTACAGTGAGAGCTGAGAAGCTCTGAGATTCCTCCATCCCTCTGCCCTTCCCACTGAAGGCACAGAAATGGAGAGTGTGCTGCCTGCGTCCCTGTGCCGTATGTGCGTGCTTGATGAAGCTGTGAAGGTTTTGGCTGCCCTTTCGTGGCTTCTGTTGTTTTCTTGGGGGCTCAGTGGGATGGAGAGTCTGTTCTGCAGCAGGACATGCCAACAAATTGCATCACTTCTGCCTCGGTGACTGCGGACAATGACATGCCATATGCCAGCGGCAGGAAATGAATGGGCTCATTTACACTGGCACCGGCGCTGCGGCCTGTCAGTCTTCAGAGGCCGGCCACTGCAAATTGGAAGGTGGCGGAGACGCAGAAACCTCCCAAGCTTCCAGGCCACATTAGTCTGGAAGCTCGGAGCAGGGGCAGAGGGAACCCAGGCGAAGGAGGTCCCCTTGCTTGCTATGAATGTTAGCCTTGCAGCTCCAGAAAACTGACCGAGTGAAACCACCACTCTCTGCCCACCCCCTGCACCAAAGGAAAAGAGAAATGGAAAACTGTTGAGTGCATTCAGCTGCAAGGAGAAAACAAAAACACAGTAGGTGCCGCACCCCGGCATGCAGAGCGGCTTTCCTACACACACAGAGGCTGCCACAGCGGCCTGCCCCGACGGCGACCCCACCGCCTCGCCTGGGCACCCGGCAACGCCGCAGTTCACATTCGACCTCCGGCCTCTCCGGCCGCGCGGCGTCTGTCTCCGTGCATGGCAGCCGGGGGTGGTCGGCAATGATTGAAGAGGCCGCGTCCTGGCGACCAGCGCTGCTAATGAACGGGAGGGAGCGGGTCAGGGATCGCCCGCATGGCAGCCCGGCAAGGGCGGAGCCGCCGTCCATTGTCCCTCGCATTTGTTCTCAGGGCAGCGAGGGGGGTCGGTAGCAATCACGCGCTCTCTTCTTCATAATCACTATAATTAGCGTCATAATCTGAGCTGGGTGAGCTTGGGGCAGCTTCCTGGCAGAGTAACTCACTTTTTAAATAATAATAATAATAATAATAATAATAATTGGCATTGCAGGGCCTTTTCATCCAAGTTTAGACGGCCTTATGGAGATCAACCGAGTCTGGATTGCACCCTGCCAGAGAGGAACCTGAGACACTTTGCAAGGAGCTGGGTGCGAAGCAACCTGGCCCGGGTCACAGGGAGGTGCCGGTACGGAGGCCGGCGTCCAGTGAGATTGGATTCACAGGTTCTGGGCCCATGGCAGCCTATACGGAATGCCTGAGACCTTCGATACAATGGACTGATGTTAACTGAAGGCATAAACAAGAGGTCTCTCGTGCTCCTGGACATGAGCAGGTGGAGGATCCTTAGGACACAGCCCGTGCTGCTTCCCCCGGGCCCCGTCGTCCCTGCCATCCACTCACCTTTCCCTCCTGGTTCAAGGACTCCTGTTAGGAAAGAAATAGAGAATGGAACGATACCCACTGACCTGGGCCCAGGCACTTCTCATTTCCAGTTGGTTTGATAAGACATAAATATAGATTTCCCGGGTTTTGCCCTCATAAGGAGTGCATTTAAAATAAAATTATACCAAGTCATTCTGATTCTAAGCAAGCATCTAGACATTCATAGGTGGGAGAGAATGTGTTCCAGGCCTCCAAAGAAAGATCGCACTCAAAACCCCCAAACCCCCACACCCCACACCCCCACACCCCTCAAACCCCCACACCCCACACCCCCACACCCCACACCCCCACATCCCACACCCCACACCCCTCAAACCCCCACACCCCTCAAACCCCCACACCCCACACCCCCACATCCCACACCCCACACCCCTCAAACCCCCACACCCCACACCCCCACACCCCTCAAACCCCCACATCCCACACCCCACACCCCCACATCCCACACCCCCACACTCCTCAAACCCCCACACCCCACACCCCTCAAACCCCCACATCCCATGCCCCATACCCATATACCCCCTCACCTCCCACACCCCCCACACCCCACATCTGCACACCCCACAACCTCATATTCCCACACCTCCTGGACAGTGTAACCCTGCAAGCTCACCCCTGGCACCCCTTGCCCCACCTGCCCAGGTGGATGAGGCCATCAGCCTCACACTGAGTCCCAGAACAGCCCTGGCACGCAGGTGTCCATCATGGTTTCCCTGGTGTCCCGAGCCCCAAACCGCTCCGTGGAAAACACCGAGCTGAATCAACAGGGGGAGAACCCGGCCCTTCTCCTCCTCCCCTCCCTAAGGCAGGGGGAGAACCCAGCCCTTCTCTTCCTCCTCTCCCTAAGCCAGGGGGAGAACCCAGCCCTTCTCCCCCTCCTCTCCCTAAGCCGTGCGTCCTGAATGTGACTGCTGCATCCTAAACTCCTCCTTCCTCCTCAGGAGTTTATTCCCACCATTGGAGCCTTCTGTTTTGAGAGGTCTTGAGAAAACTTGCTTTTAGTCCCTTAAAAGCCCCACTTTTAAACCGATGGCCTTTAAAACTTTGGGCCCTGTGCACTGCGTCATGTCTGAGCGCTGGCATCCACCGCCTTGCAGGGGCCGGAGTCAGGCCCCTTCCAGATGGCCCTGAAGTGCACAATGGGGCCTCCATTAGACACTTCACAGATACGATGAATGCGCTTCTCCCTCACAAAGACACACGTGAGGGGAGTGAAGTTGTTTGCAGTCTGGGTTTCACAGTCCTCCGGCCCAAGAATGTCATCCTTTTCCTTTTGGCCGTTCCCGAGCCCCACCCCCCACCCCCGCCACTGGGCTGGCAGGGAGGTCTTCCAGAGTGGAGCCACGCTGCCCTCACCCCGGGGCTCCTGGCCTTGCAGGGAGATGGTGGTGCTGACAGGCGGCCCGATGAAGTATGTCCAAGGCCAGGTGATGCAGTGGAGTTTGAAGGAGCAGTGAGTTCGAGCCGGGGCCTGTGACTTGGGGGAGGCGGCAGCCGCTCCTGAAGCCCTGGGATGAAGAGCACGTGGAGACAACATGGGCAGAGGAGTGGGAACCAGGAAGAGAAGCAGCTTGGAGAACCATCAAAGCTTCTATGAGGTGGTGCAAAGCCACAGTGAGCAGAGGTGCCCTCATCTGGATAGAAACACAAAAGGAGAAACAGGTTTGGTGAGTGTGTGCATTGGTGTGTATGTTCGTGTATGCCAATGCTATGCATCTCTGTATGTATATGTGCTGTGTCCATGGCTGTGTGTGTATGCACACGAGCATGCATGTGCTGTGTGTTCATGTGCATGTGTGTGCATGTGAGCATGTGTGTTGTGTCCATGTGCATGTGTGTGCACGTGAGCATGTGTGTGCTGTGTGTTCATGTGCATGTGGGTGCACGTGAGCATGTGTGTGCTGTGTCCATGGGTGTGTGGGTGTGCACACGAGCTTGTGTGTGCTGTGTCCATGTGCATGTGTGTCCATGTGAGCATGTGTGTTGTGTCCATGTGCGTGTGTGTGCATGAGCATGTGTGTGATGTATATGTGTACATGTGTGTCCACATGAGCATATGTGTCCTGTGTGTGTGCATGTGTGTGCTGTATGTGTGCATGTGAGCCTATGTGTGTGTTCTGTGTCCATGTGCATGTGTGTGGATGAGGGAGGGAGAATTTTAGGTCTGTTATAGAGATATCCAGTTAAGCGATGTGAAAAAAACAACAACCAGGTCTAAAGTTTGAGACTGGAGATGGAAATTTCACTAAAGTTCTAGGCCGAGTGGGATGACTGCATAAAATGAGAAGAGGCTGGGCAGGAACCTCACATTTGGAGACATTAAAGTGGAAAATTCAACAGAAGCACCAGGACAGGGGTCAGGGTACCAAGCAGGAATCTCAGGGGGCACCCTTGAGACTCAGTTATAGGATCCTGGTACCCACTTAGATGGAGATTATAAAAGGGCCTAGAAACGTAATATTTGAAGAGGATTTTGTCAGGAGACATTTTAGCAAACTGTGATTTTCTAAGAGGAAGGCGTAGGGACTGCTTGTCCTTCATCTGATAATCAACAGAGTCTTCATCACAACCTCTAAACCAGATACATACAATCTCATTTTGTCCTTTAAGAAGATAATGTGTGACCCTGGCCTGAGAATGAATGGTAAAAGCTTTTCTGTGGCTGAAAATCTGCAAGAAGCATAGGAAACTCCAAACGCTTGAGAGAAGCTCAGGATCCCCTTGAAAAAAGCAAGCTTGCATTTCCCATGCAAGTGGTAAGGGTGTAAGTTAGTGAAGGAGACAGGGGAGGCAGTCTTTGGAAAACTTAGAACAGTTTCCAATCAAAGGTTAATCACAGATTAAGGAAATCAGACATCATCCCTGAAAAAATTATCCAAAGAGGCAAAATCTTTAATTTAAGAATAATTAAAATGTCTAAATAGCTTTTTTTGAGCATCTGGTTCCACTAAGATGGAGCAGCCCTTCCTCTCAGGCCCAGTGTTAGGACTAAAGCCCTGGGCACAACACAGGAAATACAGAGAGAAGACTCTGGAATAAGGAGAGGAGCTGGACAGATGAGGTCCCCAGGGCTTGAGGGTGGCCTGGGGCAGATCCCCAGCGTGTCCTAGTCCAGGAACTGCAGAAACCTCCAAGCTGGAGCCGCCAATAGGCACAGAAAGAAAATCCAGGAGAAGGCTATTTCCTATGACAGGGAGAAGGCCGGGGAGAAGGGCGGCCCCAGAGAACAGAAAGGTGTGTCAGCAACACCCATTCTGCTCTACCAAACACCCATGGAACACACAGGCCCCCCACAGCGTCACAGGCTGACCAGACACTGAACCTCCACAGCACTCTCAGAGGTGATGGTGCAACTCCGCTGACGTCCCAACCGTGGCACTGAGTAGGGGTTGGAACTGCCGTGCCCAGCTTGCCCTCCCATCCACCTTCCTGGTGTCACCTGCAGCCAGGAGCTGAGCCAGCACCTCTGCTCAGAGGCCATGAGCTATACGAGTTGCTGCCCACCTTCCCTGGAAGGCATCAGTAGGACCAACAGGAAACTGAATGCCCCCCTCAGCTCATCTGCAGTGAGGCAGTGTGAGCTGGTCCCCCACAGTGGCCAGAGAGGTGTCAGGACTCAGGAGGGGGCTTGCAGAAAGCTGAACGCACCCACCCACACCTCACCAGGAAGACTGCCTGCTAAGACACGTTCCTAAGTAGGATCCAGAGTCTCAAATGTCATCAAAATGGCCAGGATCCAATCAACTCACTCATCACAGGAAGATGCAGAAAAAAGTCACAATGCAGATGAGAGGACAATTGACAGACACCAACACTGAAATGAACCAGTGCTGAAATGTCTGACAAAGACTTTAAAGCAACCATCATAAAATGCTTCCGTAGCAATTATACATTCTCTTGAAACAAGTGAAAAATGGAAAATCTCAGCAAAGAAATAGATCCTATAAAAAAGGACCAAGTGAAGATGATAGAATCAAAAAAGGCAATAACTAAAACGTAAAACTTGCTGAGTTGGCTCAGTGGAGTGAAAACGGCAGAGGAGAGAATATATGTATTTGAGGACAGAACACTAGCATATACCCAACCTGCACAATGGACGGGAAAAAAGATTGAAAGAAATAAAAGCGCCGTCAGGGACCTGCGGGACGAGAAATGAAGAGCCGACATTCTTGCCCTCAGAGTCCCAGAAGGAAAGGAGAGAGCGTGAACTAAAACACCTTTCATGGATGGACTTCCCAAATCCTGCAAATAAATAAACAAATAAATAATTCAAGATAGTGAGTGAATCCAAAATTGGACAAATCCAAAGAAATCCATGACAAGATACATAATAATTAAACTTCTAAAAATTAAAAACAGAGAAAACATTCTTAAAAGCAGCCAGAAATGACACTTTACTTACAGGGAAATGACAATTCCCATGACAGGTTATTTCTCATCTGAAACCACTTCAGAGCCACAGAAAGAAGGAGAAAGCCAGAGCCACAGAAGGAAGCAGAAAGCCAGAGGAAGTAGCAGAACATTTCCTAAGCACCAAAGAAAAAATCTGTCAACCATACATTTTTATATCCTTCAAAAATCTCTTTCAGGAATCAGGGAAAATAAAGACATTTTAAGAGGAAGAAAAGCTTGTCACTAGCAAAAATACCTTTAAATAATGAAGGAATTTCTATAAATAAGAAGAGGTCGGGCACAGTGGCTCACGCCTGTAATCCCAGCACTTTGGGAGGCCAAGGCGGGTGGATCACGAGGTCAGGAGTTTGAGACCAGCCTGGCCAACATGGTGAAACCCATCACTACTAAAAATACAAAAAAAAATTAGCCAAGCATGATGGCACGCACCTCTAATCCCAGCTACTCTGGAGGCTGAGGCAGGAGAATTGCTTAAACCTGGGAGGCAGAGGTTGCAGTGAGCTGAGATCACACCATTGCATTCTAGCCTGGGCAACAGAGAAAGACTCCATCTCGGAAAAAAAAAAAAAAAAAAAGAAGAGATTACAGAAGAATGGTTGGAACTTCAGATAGGAAGGGTAAGCATTGAAATGGGTAAAAAATTGGTAAATATAGTATAATGCCTTCCCGTGAATTTCTTAAATCATATTTGATGGTTGAAGCAAAAATTATAAAACACTAAGTCATGTGCTGATCACTGCATGTACAGGAGATATTTAAGACAATTATATTTTTAAAAGTAGGGAGGATAATGGAATCTAAGTGAAAGTAAGTTTGCTATACCTTACTCAAAGTAGTAAAGCATCAATACCAGGAGGCTGTGATAACCTACGCATGTGTATTACAATAGCTGGAGCAACTGCTAGTTAAATTATACAAGGCAATATGTTTGAAAACATGACAAACCCCTCAAGATGTATGCTTTAAAAGTTTTCACAGGAAAACAAGAAAAGAGAACAGAAGAATGAGAAACAGAGGTTACAAACAGAAAACAGGCAATAAAATGGAAAACTTGCATCTGAATACATCACTAATTACCATAAATGCAAATGATCTAAATACACCAATTAAAAGGCAGCGATTAGCAGAATAGGTTAGAAGAAAAGAAAACATTATCCAACAGTAGCCTGTGTATAAGAAACTCACTTCAAATATAGCATCAGGTAGTTTTTTAAAGTAAAAGAATATATATATATAGCAAACAATTTTTTTAAAAGCAGGAATGGTTATATTAATATTAGACAAAATAGACTTCCAAGCAAAAAAAAATTATTAGAACCAAGAAGGGATATTACATTTGAGAAAAGGATGAATCAGTCAGGAAAAAAATAACAATCCTAAATGTGTATACTCCAAAAAACAAATGAAAATTAGAAGGCCAATATATCAAATATATGGGGTACAGTTAAAGCCGTGCTGACAGGAAAATTCATAGCACTAATTGCTTACATTTTTTAAAGAATAAAAATCTCAATAATCTAAGTTCCAACCTCAAGAACTAGAAAAAGAAGAGAAAAATTAACTAAAGCAAGTAGAAGAAGGGAAATAATAAAGAAAATCAAAAATCATTGAGATTGAGAACAAGAAAGCAATAGAGAAAATCAATAAAACAAAATGGCTGATTCTTCAAATCAATAATTATAACTTCTCGAAATATTTACAAACTTAAAAAGTCAGAAGACAAATCACCAGTGTCAAGAATGAAACAGGGATTTCACTGCAGTTCCCGCAGCTATTGAAATGGTAAGAGAATATTACAGGCAACTTTACGGTCACAAATTCAGCAACTTAGAAAACACAAACCAGCCCATTAAAGCCCAAAATATACCAAAACGCTACCAAAATAAATGAGATCATCTGAAGATTCTATAAGCATTACAGAAATTGAATTTGTAACTTAAAAGTTTTCAAAAAATAAATCCCAAGGCCTAGATTGTTTCAATGAAGACTTCTACCAAATGTTTAATATTGATTCTTTATCATCTCTCTCAGAACATAGAAGAGGAGGAAACACTTTTCAACATGTTTTATGAGGCAAGTTTTACCCTGAACCAAACCCAGACAAAAGGGAAAACTATAGGCCAATGTATCGAATGAATCTAGATGCAGAAGTCCTCTTATTAATATTAGCAAATTGATTCCAATAACATATTAAGAGACTTATACACTGCTGCCAAATTAAATTGATTCCAGATATTCTAGGATTGTTCAATATTTCTAACTCTACCAAAGAAATCCGCTATAACAATCTAAAAGTGATAATACGCTCAGATCAATTGATGCAGAAAAAGAATTAGACAAAATCCAACACCCATTTATGTTGAGAAAAAAAAAAAAAACTCTCGCTAAAAATAGAGGAAAATTTCCTCAACTTGAAATAGAGCACCTACCAAAACATCCTACTGCTAACATCATAGGTGAATGACAAAGCCTTCCCTCTCCAATTGCAGGGAACAAAATACACCCACATGTGCACACACACACAGGCACAGGTGCACACACACACACGAATGCATGTAAAACTGGTGAGATCTGAATAAGGTCAGTGGATTGAGCCAGTGGCCACTTCCTGGTCATGACATTGAGCTGTGATCATGCTGGATGTTACCACTGGGGGAAACTGAGTGAAGGGTGCATGGGATCTCTCTTTATTATTTTTTTACAACTGCACAATTGTCTCAAAATAAAACGTTAGTAAAATAGCTCTTCTTTTGTAGTTTGCAAATTAAAACCAGAAACATTAAGCTATATTGATTAAATAGCAGCTATGTATTATAGTCATTAATTATAAAATTACATTTGAATGGATGTCATAAAGATTTTAATAAAATAAAACCTAACAACTCTGAGTATTTTTGTAAAACAAAGCAGTTTTTGACTAGATTAAAAATGTTCAGTGACCAAAAGAAAGCAGTGTCACAGTTAAAGCTGATAGAGTTTGAACAACATGACTAAGTGTGAGCTCTTGTAAGGCAGAGCCACATTGTACGTAAGCATTTACTTTTTAAGGTCTGGTTGTTGTAAATTTTCTACTTTCTACTTAATATTTGATGCAGTGTATACCTGCCTCAATTTCTACTTTTGTGGAAAATAAGGTAGGAAAGTTCATAGTTTTACCAATTTCAGATACAGCAAACACTTTTCTTGCCACTCCCTGATCGGTAGCTCAGCAGGGGTACTCACCTGATCCCTGGGCTGCTGCCACAAAAAGCCCCAGACAACTCCTCAGGCACAGTCGCACCCACTGGAGCCTGGTTCAGGGATGTGCCTTCTGCCGGGTCACTGGCTGAAGTGGGCGAGTCATCACCACCTTTAGCGCAGTTTGCTTATCTACAGAAAGGGCGTCATGGGGTCCTCCTCCTTCCAGGCTCATAGTGAACATTTAGTGCTCTCACCTAGACAGACCACCTAGCACAGAACCTGGAACCCCACGGTGTTAGCCGGCATTCATCCATAAAATGATTTCCAGCTAGATTTTCAGCCATGGCCTCTAGGGAACCGGAAATGTATTGATGATGAGAGTTGACGGGTGGATTCCCATTGTGTCTGTTTCAACTCCAAAGATGTAGCGGCAGATCCACAAGCAGATCAAGGGACCTCAGTCACAGGCCACTCCCTGGAGGCCACTGCCAGTGTCCCATCAGCAAGGACTCATTCTTTTGCGGGCTTCAGAGCTCAAATTCCTGCAAACATACAAATGTTTCTTAAATGTGTGTTGTGCAAATTGTCAGATTTGAAGTCAGAAACAACCGTGTTTAAATCCAAATTCCTGCCATTTCTAATTGGGTGGCCCTGCACACATTGCCTAGTCTTGACACCCCCCATTCTTCCCACTGTGAATCACATGGAGTGACTGACCTCATGGAGCAACAGCATCAGGAAGTGGCGCCTGTGAGTGTGGACCCGTAAGAGGTGGCGGAACCCATGAGTAGTGAAGGGGCCCGTGGGTGGTGGCAGAGCCCGTGAGTGGCGGCAGGACCCGTGGGTGGTGGCAGGGCCCGTGAGTGGTGGCAGGGCCCGTAAGTGGTGGCAGGACCCGTGGGTGGTGGTGAGGCCCATGTGAGTGGTGGCAGGACCCATGGGTGGTGGCAGGGCCCGTGAGTGGTGGTGGGGCCCATGAGTGGTTGCAGGACCCATGGGTGGTGGCGGGGCCCGTGAGTGGTGGCGGGGCCCGTGAGTGGTGGCAGGACCCATGGGTGGTGGTGGGGCCCCTGAGTGGTGGCGGAGCCTCTGTAGAGGGTCCCCCTCCCCCCACACCCCTGCCTACCTGTGCTGGGTAGGAGATGAGAAGGGACATTGGCCAGCAGTGTGTCTGCACGATGGGAAGCCTGGCTGACTTACCAAGTTGTAAAGCAAGTATCGGGGAACAGCAGTCTCCAGAGATGTCCTTGTCCCAGTCCTGGGAAGCTGTGAATGGTTACAGGTGAGGAGGACGGCAGTCTCCAGAGATGTCCCTGTCCCAGTCCTGGGAAGCTGTGAATGGTTACAGGTGAGGGGGACGGCAGTCTCCGGAGATGTCCCTGTCCCAGTCCTGGGAAGCTGTGAATGGTTACAGGTGAGGGGGACGGCAGTCTCCGGAGATGTCCCTGTCCCAGTCCTGGGAAGCTGTGAATGGTTACAGGTGAGGGGGACGGCAGTCTCCGGAGATGTCCCTGTCCCAGTCCTGGGAAGCTGTGAATGGTTACAGGTGAGCAGGAGTGAGCTTGCCCATCAACTAAGTTTAACTAAAGAGGTTTCCCAGGATGGACCAGGTGCTCTGACATAATGGCAGAGGTTCTGCAATGTCGGGGAGAAAGGCCAGAGAGCTGGTGGCAGGAAGTTGCTGTGTGAGAGGCCAGCCAGTGCTGCTGACTTTGGAGGTGGAAGAGGGACCAGGAGCCAAGGGGTGTGGGCAGCCACCAAAGCTGGGAAACTCAGGGATGGTTTCTGCCCTAGGGCACCCAGAAGGAACTCACCCTGCAGACACCCCACTTTTAGCCAATGAGACCCCTATTGAACATTAACCCCAGAACTGTGAAGAATAAATGTGTGTGGTTTTAAGCCACTAAGCTGCAGTGATTTGTTGTAGCATTGCTAGAAAGCCACACCAGCAAGGAGTTGGCATGGGGCATGGTGCAGGCAGCCCTGTTACTCTGGCTGAGCCTACATATGCACATCCTGTGAGAATCACATGAAAGCAAAGGGTGTGGGGCATGGAGGCTTCAGACCTGCGTCCCTGCACAAATCTCATGTCAAATTGTAATCTTCAGTGTTGGAAGTGGGATATGTTGGGAGATGATTGGAGCATGGGAGCGGATTTCCCCCTTGCTGTTCTCATGACAGTGAGTGAGTTCTCACAAGATCCATGGCTAAAGTGCGTGGCACTCCCCACCCCCCTTCATCCTGCTCAGGCCATGTAAGATGTCTGCCTCCCCTTCACCTTCCACCATAATTGAAAGTTTCCTGAGACCTCCCCAAGCAGATGTAGCACCATGCTTTCCATACAGCCTGGAGAACTGTGAGCCAATTAAGCTTATTTTCTTTAAAAATTACCCAGTTTCAGGTATTTTTTGTGGCAGTGAGAGAATGGATTAATACAGAACATAGGTGCCAAAGAGTGGAGCATTGCTATAAAGATACCTGAAAATGTGGAACCAGCTTTGGAACTGGGTAACTGGCAGAGTCTGGAAGAGTGTGAAAGGCTCGGAAGAAAACAGGGAGATGAAAGTTTGGAACTCCCTAGAGACTTGTTGAATGGTTGGACCAAAATGCTGAGAGTGATATGGACAATGAAGTTCAGGCTGAGGAGGTCTCAGATGGACATGAGGAACTTATTGGGAAGTGGAACAAAGGTCACTTTTGTTTCTTAGCAAAGCAATTAGCTGCTTTGTGACCTTGCCCTAGGAATCTGTGAACTTTGAACTTGAGAGTGTTGATTTAGGGTATCTGGCTGAAGAAATTCCTAATCAGCAAAGCTTTCAACATGTGGCCTGGATGCTTCTAATAGCCTATGTTCATATGCATGAGCAAAAATAACCTAAAACAGGAACTTATGTTTCACAGGGGAGCAGAGCCTACAAGTTTGGAAAATTTGCAGCCCAGAAATGTGTTGGAAGAGAAAAATCAATTTTCTAGGGAGGAATTCAAGCAGGCTGAAGAAATTTGCATATGTAAAGAGAAGCCAAATGTTAATTGCCAAGACAATGGGAAAAAATGCCTTGAAGCCATTCCAGAGATCTCCAGAGTACCCTACCCATCACAGTCCCAGAGGCATAGGAGAGAAAAGTGGTTTCCTGAGCCAGGACCAGGGCCCTGCTGCCCTGCACAGCCTCGGGACACTACTTCCTGTATCTCAGTCACTCCAGCTCTACCTGTGGCTAAAAGCAGACCAGGTTTAGCTCAGACCACTGCTTAAGAGGGTGCAAGTTGTAAGCCTTGGCAGCGTCCACATGATATTAAGCCTGCCATTGTGCAAAGTGCAAGAGTTGAGGTTTGGGAGCCACCACCTAGATTTCACAGGATATATGGAAAGGCCTGGATGTCCAGGCAGAAGCCTGCTGCAGGGGCAAAGCCCTCGTGGAGAACATCTGCTAGGGGAATGCAGAGGGGAAATGTGGGATTGGAGCCCCCACACAGAGTTTCCACTGGGGCAGTGCTTAGTGGAGCTGTGAGAAGAGGGCCACTGTCTTTCAGACCCCAGCATGCTAGATCCAATGACAGCTTGCACTGTGTGCCTGGAAAAGGCACAGGCACTCATAGCCAGCTCATGAAAGCAGCAAGGGGGCTGTGTCCTGCAAAGTCACAGGGGTGGAGCTGTCCAAGGCCTTGGGAGCCCATCTCTTGCCCCAGTGTGCCCTGGATGTGGCATATGGAGTCAAAGTAGATTATTTTGGAGGTTTAAGATTTAACGACTGCTCTTCTGGGTTTCAGACTTGCACGGAGCCAGTAGCCCTTTTGTTTTGGCTGATTTCTGCCTTTTGGAATGAGAATATTTACCCAACACATGTGCCTCCATTGTTTCTTGGAAGTAACTAGCTTGTTTTTTATTTTACAGGCTCATAAGCAAAAGGGACTTGCCTTGTCTCAGATGAGACTTTGGACTTGGACTTTTGAGTTAATGTTGAAATGAGTTAAGACTTTAGGGAACTGTTGAGAAGAGATCATTATATTTTGCAATGTGAGAAAGACATGAGCTTTAGGAAGAGTCAGGGGCAGCATGATATGGTTTGAATCTCTGTCTCTGCCCAAATCTCATGTCAAATTATAATCCCCAGTGTTGGAGAAGCCTGGTGGGAGGTGATTGAATCATGGGGACAGATTTCCCCCTTTGGTGCTGTTCTTGTGATAGAGTTCTCATGAGATCTGGTTGTTTAAAAGTGTGTGGGCCAGGCACAGTGGCTCATGCCTGTAATTCCAGTACTTCGGGAGGTCAAGACAGGCAGATCATGAGGTCAGGAGATCAAGACAATCCTGGATAACATGGTGAAACCCCATCTCCACTAAAAATACAAAAAAAAAAAAATAAGTAGCTGGGCATGGTGGCACATGCCTGTGGTCCCAGCTACTTGGGAGGCTGAGGCAACAGAATCACTTGAACCCAGGAGCCGGAGGTTGCAGTGAGCCGAGATCACGCCACTGCACTCCAGCCTGGGTGACAGAGTGAAACTCCCCTCAAGCTTATGGCAGCAGAGAGAAGAAGAGCCAGCATGCTGGAGAGAAGGAAGGGCCCCCTCCCCTCTAGCCCAGCTGCTAAGGGCTTGGGCCTGGGGTCAGCCCTGGTGCTACTGGCCCTCGGAGAAGCAACACCTGCCTCTGCAGGCTGTCACCACAAGGTGCAGAAAACGCAGAGTCCTGAGCTTCATGAGCACAGCCCTCTGAGGGGTTCCTGCTCCTTCAGACCCAAACCCAGCAAAGCTGAGGGCTATGAAGAGAACTCCAAAGGCATCAGAGATGGAGCCCATGGCAGAGATAGATGTCTCCATGGGACCCAGGCCATTCTTCCTAGGTACCAGCAAAGGGCACCCTCAGATTATTCTGGTAGTGATCCAGTCACGTCTGTGAGAGACAAATAGCCCAGTCGATTCAGTCAAACAGCCAATGTGATTGACTTTCTGTTGTTCACTGACTTGACCAATTATTTGACTGCAATGACCTGATTTTTTCAGAATGGCGTACGCAAAGCCGCAACCCACACAATCAGAAAGAAAGGGAGGATTGGGGAAATGAGACAGCTTGGAAATCATCACGTTCCCCACGACTGAAGAGAAAGTGGAGGGTCTGGTTCGTTCTTCTTGTTACCTCAATAACCATTACCTTTCTGCGGGCTGGTGTAGACACTATCTCAGTAAAAGTAATATTAGGCACTTAAAAAAAATGAAGCATATTTGTGACCCTTCAGATGAAGTATAGTATAAATTAAAACAAAAGTGGCTAATTTTCAGGCCTCGTGGTCAGCAGTGGGGATGGAGAGGAGCTGCCAGCCCTGCCCGCATGGCACTCTTCAGGTGGGAGGGGGGCAGTCATCGCAGGAAGCCTTGGGGATGCTGGGCATTACATTGCAAACTTTGACCAGGAACTGGGTACTCTTCCTTCATTAAAGGGTTATCTCACTGCAGTGCCAGTCAGCAAGTGAAATTACATCAGGCCTCGGCAGTAGAGCAGCCTTGTTTGGCTCAGAGCCCTGTGCTCCAGCCTCTACCCAGGGCCTTTCCTTCCAGAGGCTTGATGCAGTCTCTGCCTCCTGCACCCAGGGCTGTGCTTTTCCAATTAAGAGCAGGCGGCCCAGCAGCACCTGTAAAACAGCAACGTTGCAGAGACACACTATAACAATTCTTTGATGTACAGAGCTAATTTTAGAGCCTTTGAAATCAATTCCTATCACTGATGGGTAAAGTCAAAATGGAAGGCCGGTGAATCAGGGTGAGGTCAGACTCATGTACAGGTCTAGGTTGATTGGTTTGCAGTAAAATCCCTAAGAGCGGCTAGCTTTTAATGAACTTCTAAAAGAAGTGAGCTTGTCTTTCCCGAGAACATGGAGCAGAAAGGTGAGCCCCTCGTGTCTGCCACCTAAGTGACTCGCCAGCCCGGCTGTGTGTGGACTTGAGAAACACTCACCAGGGCCCCCCATCCCCCACCTCCCCACTAGGGAAAGAAGGGCGAAGGGCAGCCTGCACTTCCTGCTCACCAGGGCACCCCACCCCCACCTCCCCGCTAGGGAAAGGAGGGCGAAGGGTGGCCTGCACTTCCTGGTGCTTGTGAAGTTGCATGGGGAGTGAAACCTGCTGGCCACCCAGCTTCCCGAACACAGAGGACATCAGCTGGAACACGGTCATCTTCTGCCTTTAACCAGGGGACTGACCAGTGCGCAGCCAGCAGAGAACGCCATCCCAACAGGCCATGTTCCACGGTGAAGAAATATTTCCAAAGAATCTCTCACCAATCAGAGCTGTGCAGCCCAGAGTCTGGTCCAGGTAGGATTTCCACATAGGGCAGAATCGGGGATATGGTTTATGTTAAATACATGGGGGTTGAGTAAAAACATACACACCCTACACACCCTAGTCCCCTGATCCAGTCAGACTTTTTAAATTACCACACTTGCTGAGACATTCCCAGTGTCATGAATTTCACCTACACGTTTCCACGAGACACATAATGGTCCTTTCTGTTTAACTACCACATCATCACTCTTTGCTGCAAGGGAGTCTCTGTTTTGGAATTTAAATAGCATTTTGATTGAGATTCAAAACTGGGTGAGCTTAATAATGAAAGAATTGAAAAGCCCATCAGCCTCAACCTAAGAAATAATCACGGTTCTCAGTCCTGCTCAGTTTCATTCCATGACGTTCTCTGTCTTCACGTAAAACTTTCCAAACATCATCAGAGTCCACAGAACACTCTTTGGAGTCACTGATTCACGGATCATGACAATGAGCGGCTGCCCCACATGCCTTCCAGACACTGTCTTCCCAAGTACTCTCGGCAGCGGGAACCCACTTCAGCAGAGGAGATCTGGAGCTGGCTTTTGGACACAAGGGATTTTAGATGACAGAGAAACATCCAAACTGAAAGTGCCTTCTTAGCTGGAAACCCAGGACGAATGATCAGGGAGGACCTGGGGAAGGGACTCCCTCCCTGTGAAAACCCAGTAACCCTCACAGGTACCACCATTGTCAGGATGGAGCCCCATCAAGTATTAGCTTTGCTTTCTCCAAAATTCTCTGCTTCAGGTGGCCCAGCTGCTAGATGTGATGACATACATGGGGAATGTGGCCGGTCTAACATCTGATGGTCTAATGAACGGTCTCACATCTGATGGTCTAATGAACAGTTTCATGTCTGATGGTCTAATGAATGGTCTAACGTCTGATGGTATAATGAATAATCTCATGTCTGATGGTCTAACATCTAACATCTAACGTCTACCCGTCTAATGACTAAGGGTTTAACATGTAAGCATCTAACGTCTGATGGTCTAAGGTCTAACATCTAACTTCTACCTGTCTAACATCTAAGAGTTTAACATCTAAGAGTCTAACATCTGATGGTCTAATGAACGGTCTAACGTCTGATAGTCTAATGAACAGTCTCATGTCTGATGGTCTAATGAACAGTCATGTCTGATGGTCTAACATCTAACATCTAACGTCTACCCATCTAATGACTAAGGGTTTAACATCTAAGAGTCTAACATCTGATGGTCTAATGAATGGTCTAACGTCTGATGGTCTAACATCTAACATCTAACGTCTACCCGTCTAACGTCTAAGGGTTTAACATCTAAGAGTCTAACGTCTAATGGTCTAAGGTCTAACAGTCAAACATCTAATGGTCTAAGGGTCAAACAGTCTAATGTTTAACAGTCTAACATCTAACGGTCTAACAGTTTAACATCTAACAGTCTAACGTCAAAGGATTTAAAGTCTAAAGGTCTAACTTCTAATGATCTAATGTCTAAGGTGTAATATCAGTCTAATGGTCTAACATCTAACCGTCTAACACCTAATGGTCTAATGTCTAAGGGTTTAATGTCTGACAGTCTAAAGTCTAATGATCTATTAATAACATCTAACATCTAAGCGTCTGAAGTCTAATGTGTAATGGTCTAATGCCTAATGGTCTAACGTCTAAGGGTTTACCATCTACAGGTCTAATGGTCTAATGATGCAGTCCTGACTCCCCTACATGCCTGGTATGAATTGGTCATTCTTTCCACCTCCCAGAGCCTTTTCATCCCTGTGTAAGTGGGGATAACAACTCCCAACTTGAAATAACCCATGAGAAAGTGCTTGGTAAATTCTAAGGAACATGCAGAAAGCCATAGCATATACAGCTGGTGCTCAGTGGACGTATTGAGCTGCTGTCCCAGAGCCTGGCTCTGTTCCCCTTCAGTATGTAACTCATACTTCATATCTAAATTAGATTTATTTTCTCTGTGCAGTTCTAAGTTCTAGTATTTAATTTAGAAGGGGCCAAGTAGCCTGAGTGGGGGCAGGGAGGGGGTGACACTTCTCATTTAAAAATAGTTGCTAATTAATTTTTTGCACATGAAAGGGTTTTATGAAAATTGCCCAATAATTAAAACCTATGCATAATGATGAGCATAAATATTTTCAGATACAAAACTCTGGTATCCTCTCAAATCACAGAAGCACTCAGCTGTGTCAGGAAGCTACCCCTGTGAGAGAAGTTGCCAAATGATCACCCAGTGGCCACCCCCGTCCTTCCACTTGCAAAGCCTCCCCTGGGAGAACCACCACCCCTGCTTCCTCCCTGCTCAGCTTTCTCCGAACCCATTCTCCTTCCCTCCGTGCTCAGCCCTGTCTCTGTCTCTGAGCCCGTTCTCCTCCTTTCCTTCCTCCCTAGTTTGCCAAGGGGTTCTCTTTCAGGAAGTTGCTTGACTCTTCCTTCAACATGAAATCTTCTGAGGTTGGTCCTGGCCAGCAAAGCCCTTCCTTGATGCACACCCCAGGAGGCATTCAACACCCAGGGGTCCCCAGGACTCCAAGGCCAGCATTGGCTCAGGCAAGAGCCCCGTTGTGGATTCTCCTCACCTCTGCCGGCGCCTGCCTGGCCCCTCCTCCTGGCTGCCTGCATTGCTGGGTTCTGTACAAGAGGCCAGTCCCACCTGGAGGAAGCCAGGGTAGATGGAGCCAAGTGCTGAGGGAGGAGAAAGCAGCTGTTACTTCCAACTGGACGGATTCCCCAGAAAAGGAGGCCCCAGGACCATGGAGCTGAGTGGGAGCAGGAACAGAGGCAGAATCGAGGGCACTCTAGCCTGCAGATGAAGGGCCCCCGGGGTCTCCATCTGGAGGGCGAATATCTGACTTAGTCCTAAAACAACAGTGAGGGCTGCAAGATGTGTCGAGAACCGGCTGTAAATCAGGTGCAGCACACTCCCTGGCAGCCAGGTTACCTGAGCTGAGCCGACGGGCTTGGACGCGATGAGAACCACCTGCCCCACAGTCAGGCGCAGAAGAACACGTGGGGGTACTGATGTCAGCACCAGCACCTCTCAGATCACACTAAAATCCTGGGGCCATGTTGGCTCGAAGAAAGTAAGGGTTAGAATTGTGGATTCTGGGGAAGAGCCAAGTGCTGGTTTCATAAAGGTCCTCAAACTCCCGACAACCCAACAAGAAGGTGTCACAGGCTGGACTGTGTCCCCCCGAAGATGCTGAAGTCCTGACCCCCGTAAGTACGGGCGCACATGCAGTATCCAGAAATGCGATCTTTGCAAACAACCAGGTTGATACGAAATCTTTAGGACGCTAACCCTACAGGACTCCTGTCCTCACGAGAAGAGGAGAGGAGGACACGGACACAGAGGACAGCCGAGAGATGAACCAGGGAGGGAGAGACGTCTGAAAGCCCAGGAGAGAGGCCTCGGGAGGAGCCACCCTGCCCACGCCTTGATCTTGGACTTCTGCATGGAGAGCTGAGAAAGTTAGCTTCTGTTGTTTATGCTGCCTGGTCTGTGGGATGTTATGGCAAATCCTCAGGAGACTTGCACACTAGGGGCCACTGGGCTGGAGCCAGAGAACCACCTACCAGTCTATAGTTGTTCTGGAATCTAGCGAAGGACTGCCGAGTGTCAGAGGCAGAAGGGAGAGCTTGGGGTGGACTCACCGACCCAGCTGTCCTTAGAGGAGAAACTGAGGTGCGTTTGTGTCTAGCGCCCCCTGCCCAGGGACAGGCCAAATCCCAGCACCAGGCCACAGCACTCCTCTTTCAGCCTTCTTTTAGGTAATAAAATCCTTTTCAGATCATGGACTAAACAATAATAATCTTAGTCTTAGAAATGAAAAACCTTTGCTAAAAGAGGTTTTCTTCTTGATAAGGAGTGAGGCTTTTAAATTTCATTTCTGATGCACCAACATTTTGAGACATCAAAACTAAGGGGAAGGGAGTGAAGAAAAACTCACTGGGCAGTGATTAGATACATCTAATAGTCAAGGCTGGGCATGGTGGTTCACACCTGTAATCCCAGCACTTTGGGAGGCCAAGGCAGGAGAATCACTTGAGGTCAGGAGTTCGAGACCAGCCTGGCCAACATGGCGAAACCCAGTCTCTACTAAAAATACAAAAATTAGCCAGGCGTGGTGGTGGGTGCCTGTAATCCCAGCTACTCGGAGGCAGAGGCAGGAGAATCACTTGAACCTGGGAGGCAGAGGTGGCAGTGAGCCAAGATCTCACCATTGCACTCCAGCCTAGGCAACAGAGCGAGATTCTGTCTCAAAAAAATAAATACGTAAAAATAAAAATAAACATCTAATAGTCAAATAAATGCTCTAGTTTGGACATAGTTGTTGGTTATCCTGTAATAAAATCATAACCTAAGGTAGGCTTAATAGTTGAGAACGAATAGAAGAAACTGACATATGCAAATGAGGATAAGGGCAGGAATTTAACACATGAAGATGTCCTGAAAGTGAAGGGATTAAAGCAATAAGCTAAAACCAAACACAGTGGAAATGAAAGCAACACATTACCGTTTGATCGACTTTGGGGAATACAATGAAAATGAAAGCAACATGTTACCATTTGATTATTTTTGGGGAATAACCTGCAACGCCAAAAATCCAAGGAGGAAGGGCGCGGGCTGCACCTGTCGGGCTCAGCGGGCTCAGCAGGCTCACGGTTCACCAATGTATGCCTGCATGGCAGAGCCCTTCAAGGGGAGAGAGATTCCACCTTCCAAAGACAAATGGAAATGAAGAGCTGTGTAATTATTAGTTTTGTTGCAAGCAGATCAATCATTTGCGATGAACAACTCTGCGGTCACATCTGATCTTTCAGCAGACCAGGGCCCGCAGTGCGACTTGGGCAGCACGGCCCATGCTGGCTGGATTACAGCAGGCTTGGCAGCGGGGAGGTGGGCCTGCATCCGTGTCATCCGGACTCTTGTAATTATGACAGATGATTAAATGTGTTATTTTCAGCAAAGCAATGGCAGCTGGAATGGGAACTCAGGGCTGGAAAGAGGCAAGGCTGTGGCTTGGAAGGCTCTTCCGTTGCTGACGCGCACAGACTGAGTACCGCGGCGCCCCAGGTGGCTGGGTGCCCGACGCCTCTCACTCTGCCCATCAGCTCCCGGCTGCGTTTCGAAGCCCGCCCCACCCTCAGCAAAGCGGCCGGGGTGTGCCAGAGAGACTGCAGGCACAAAGATGCTTCTAGCCAAGGTGCAGAGGTCAGCCCAAACCCCGAACTGTCTTCAATGATGCTGTCAGAAAGGATGCAGGGGCCCAGGGACAGCTCTCAGTCCAGACAACCTAGCGGGAGATGGTGTGGGCTTCCCGAAAGGGGTGGAAGCTTCTGGAGCTGCCCCCTTAGCTTCCACTCACTCCACTGACTTCAGGGCAAAGGACAAGGCCCTTAAGGCTCCCCTCAATCACAGACGCTGTCTTCCATTGGTGTCACATTATTCAGAGGCACTTTCGAAAGCAATGGGGGCGGCCTGGCCTGTGCAAGCTTCGCCTGAGAGCTGGCCACGGACCCTTGAAGCATCTGGCGTCCTCTGACAGTGTCCTTGACTCCGCCAAGGTCAGGTTTTCTCCAAATGCAGGACTTCTTGTCTTGGCAGCTGGAAGGAGAAGCCAATCTGACACTAGAAGGATCATCCTCGCGAAGGACTTTCCGCACAGGAGGCTCTGTCCGGCGGTGGCTCTCAGCCCAGGCTCGAACCAGTGGAGTCTGCTCCCACTGCTTTCGAAAGCTCCTCTGAATGATGGCATGGCACAAACAGAAGACAGAACCTACATTTTCATCAAAAGAGAGAGGATGAGGCCACCCAGGATCCTCCCAGGCCTCCTGGGCCAGTCAGGGGTGGAGCACGTTCAGCTCCCAGACCATGGGGGAACTCCCTGCAGGCCTGTGGGGTTTCCTCTCTCCAGCCTCATGCTCCTGAGGCCTGTGGGGTTTCCTCTCTCCAGCCTCGTGCTCCTGACCTTGGGGGTAGTCCCTGCAGGCCCATGGGGTTTTCTCTCTCCAGCATCGGGTTCCTGAAGCCTGTGGGGTTTTCTCTCTCCAGCCCCGTGCTCCTGAGGCCTGTGGGGTTTCCTCTCTCCAGCCCCGTGCTCCTGAGGCCTGTGGGGTTTCCTCTCTCCAGCCTCGTGCTCCTGAGGCCTGTGGGGTTTCCTCTCTCCAGCCTCGTGCTCCTGAGGCCTGTGGGGTTTTCTCTCTCCAGCCTCGTGCTCCTGAGCTGCTGTTGACTTACGCTTCTGCTCGCACACGCACAATTTAGAGCTCAGCAGCCCGACGCTGACCCCAGAACTTCTCGGTTCCCGACGTTTCTGGCCAACCTACAAGTCCACTTCAACCCAGCTCCCTCACGCCCCATCCCCACACCCTCCCGCCTTTTCTATCTATTTTTCTTCCTTAGGAGAAACATTTATGAAAATAAACAAACACCAAAGGGAAGAAAAAACAGTGGCAATGGAAGTTTCCACCGTCAAATCCCCAGCGAGCATTTCTCATCCAGCCTTGTCACCTGCCACGGGTGGGACCACCCAGAGGGCCCTGGAAGACTCACGCAGGAGGGGAGGCAGGGCCAGGCGCCCATCTCAGCTGCCAGACACAGCCGACAGCCTGGCCTTGGCTCTGGGTGGAGCGAGAGGCTTTGTTGGCACAGCTGCTCCCTCTGTCCAGGGCTGGGGCTCCCCCCTCTGCCTCTGCACTGTGGAGCATGGTGGGACGCACAAGCCAGCGCCTTGGATTGCTATGTCTCCTGAGGTCCCCTCAGGTTCTCACAATTCCCTGGGGCCCTCCTAAAGTCACTCTGGCATCGGGGAGGCCCCCAGAGACCCCCAAAGCAGCAGTTGCCCCTGTAGCCACACCAGGGCGCCCCGGGCTCCTCAGCCGGGACTTGCAAACTCCTGCAGTGGGCAGCACACCTGTGGGCAGAGGCTGCGGCGAGCAGACTGAGTCCTCTCTGAGCCTCCCTGTCTCCTCATGTTCTGAGCAGGTGTGGGCAGAGACCGCGGCGAGCAGACAGCATCCTCTCTGAGCCTCCCTGTCCTCTCTGAGCCTCCCTTTCGCCTCGTGTTCTGAGCAGGTGTGGGCAGAGGCCATGGCGAGCAGACGGCGTCTTCTCTGAGCCTCCCTGTCTCCTCCCGTTCTGAGCAGGTGTGGGCAGAGGCCGCGGTGAGCAGGTAGCCTCCTCTCTGAGCCTCCCTTTCGCCTCGTGTGCTGAGCAGGCGTGGGCAGAGGCCACAGTGAGCAGACGGCCTCCTCTCTGAGCCTCCCTGTCTCCTCGTGTTCTGAGCAGGTGTGGGCAGAGGCCGCAATGAGCAGATGGCATCCTCTCTGAGCCTCCCTGTCCTCTCTGAGCCTCCCTGTCACCTCATGTTCTGAGCAGGGGCTCCTCGGCCGTCTGTCCTCTTTGACAATCAGTGACTTGGGAGTGGGCAGCAGTCATAATACCAAGGATGGGGAGGGTGAGACAGTGACTCTGAGTCATCTCCTCTTATAAGAACCTCAGTCATCGGGGTCAGGGTCCACCGTAGACCAGCCTGACCTAGCTACAACCCCGTTCCCAAATCCTGTCACCTTCACATCTGTGGGGTAAGGACTCAACACACCTTTATGGAGGGGCACAGTTCTACCCACAGCACAGGGTTATCTCTAATGAAGAAATCATTTCTGCTTCTATAGAGATTTAAAAATAATAAAGTCTCAACGTTTGAACCCTCTTAGGTCAGGAGGAAGCCCATGCTTTCAGCCCTACCCCAAGCTTAGGAGGAATGAAGTGACCTGCTGTCCCCTTCAGAAAGAGTGACCACTGACCCCTCCTGAGATGGGAGCCGCCAACTGCCCACACCAAGGGTGGCTGAGGGACTCCACTGCTGTGGGGAGGGAAGGACACCCACAAAAGCCTGGGCGTGAGTCGAGTTTTTCTGCCACCAGCTGCGTTGCTTTCAGCCAGTCACTCGACCCCTGCAAACCCCAGTTTGTCCATCTGCACAGTGGGATAATAATGTCAGCTCCCCAGAGCGTGAGTGTTTGGAGCTGAGCACAGGCCATAATGAGGATTCCTGTGCTGGTTTTCATGATAAAGAAAGGGAATTCCGGAGTGCTCAATATTTTACATGAGTTGCAGGTGGGCCGGTAGCGGAAGTGGGCAGCTGTCCTTCAACCCAGCCATAAACTCTGTTTATTGGTGACTATTGTTCTTATTCTTCTCTGCTGAATCCAAATCACCTTTGCTCTATGGTCCATAAGATGAAAGTTTGTCTCTTTCCTCCTGCTAAGTAGCACATTTTCCTGGGATACCTTTATTAAGTTTAGGACAGGAGCATCTTTGTACTGACAGCCCAAAGGTTTTCCACATTCCTCTGCAAACTTTGGAAAGTGGCAACGAATGTGCCCAAATATGTGGGAATAATTGTGCCCATCTATGAATGCCGTGGAGAATCAGAAAGTTCCCAGCATTCCAGGAGAGGTTGCTCCTTGCTACAAAAAAAAAAAAGGAGAAGGAAGGAAGGGAGGGAGGGAGGGAGGAAGAGAGAGAGAGAAAGAGAGAGAAGGAAGGAAGGAAGGAAAAAGGAAAGAAGGAAGGAAAGAGAAAAAAGGAAAGAAGAAAGAAAGAAAAAGAAAGAAGGAAAGAAGAAAGAAAGAAGAAAGAAAAAGAAAGAAAGAGAGAGAGAGAGGAGGGAGGGAGGGAAGGAAGGAAGAAAGGAAGGAAGGAAGGAAGGAAGGAAAAGAAAAGAGAAGAGGAAGAAAGAAAGATAAAAGAAAAGATAAAGCTTTGCAGGGTAGAATGTTGATGAGGAGTCTGACAGAAAAAGCGCTCACGGGTTGTGCTCAGAGAAAGGACAGAGCCAGCACACATGGGCTGGTCAGAGGAGCCTGCAGGCACCAGGTTCCCGGGTCCCAGGTAAACAGCACAGGACCCCTGAGTGCTCCACAGAAAGGCAGGTGCTCACAGGACCTCAGGCCAGGAGTAACCTGGGAATGTGTTCTTTCCACTATCCTTTTCAAGCTGCTTCTAAATACATGCCAGTTGTGCAGATTTATTCACGACTTAGTAATTATCTAAATCAGGCCCCAAAATAGCTATTTTTATATAATTCAGAGAGTTTTCAAATAAACGTTTAAAATGTATCATGTTTTATAAAGCTGTGTGTACAGTCTCATAATTCTTAGAGAAAAATAACCTAAAACTTTTACTAAACCTGTAATTTTACAACCCACAAGGAACTAAACTTCCACCCAAATGCCGTTTATAAAACAACAGACACTTATGGGAAGATCCGAATATTCATGATCCAGATATCCGCACAGGCCCCGGCATTGTTTTGACACATTTCATACACAGGCAGAATGTACTTGGCAATGCTGCAATCAGCCCCGCCACCAGCTTGATGTTGGCAAACCCAGTGTGTTCCAGGTACAGGCTTGTGTGCAGGACGCATAATTACAAACACTAGAGACACCTGTGGCCTGGTTCAAAATTTCATCTTCACCCTTCCGTGCCATTCACTGATTTAGTAAAAGCCTTTAGCTTTCATGATAGAAAACAACGTGTGACTAAAGCTGAAAAGCAAAGATTTCAAGAAAAAGTAAATGAGATATTTTTCCCATAAAAATGAAGGCAGTTCTTAAATACTTTGAGAACTATCTCAAAATCCACAAATTCTTTTTGGATTTCTTGTACAGTGGGCAAAAGTAAGCCTATCCACCGCCCGCCCCCCCAACACCAAAAAAAAATATCTATAGTGAGTTCAGTAACTGACAGAGCTTTGAAGTGTTCGCGGCATCTTCCACCAGAGTTCACAGCTGTGGCAAACAGTCTGGTGCGGCTCTAATTTCTAATTATGACTCACAACGACTGGGGGCGGTTGTCAATGTTACTTGTCCCGTGGTGAGAAACAAAATGACTCCATGTTCTGCTGCCAACCAAATCATCCAATTCTTTAGCAAAGCTAAGAATAATCAACTAAATAACAAAAACCAACAGGAGTGATGAACATCTTAGGAATGGCTACTGACGTCCCCAGGAGGATATTCTCACGCGGAACCCAAAGCTCCAGGAATTTCTCCAGTTTTCAGAGAAGATGCTGAACTTTCCACTTCAGAGAAGTTGCTGAACTTTCCACCTTACATTTCTTCCTCGGGCTCTGACATGCACTGGGCCCAGCAAGGAGGAGTTGCCCTTCTAGAGCACACTCTGCTCCCCCCACACTCAGACACCGCATGAAGCCGTGTCCCTGCACACCCACTGGACACTGAATCAAAGAGCCTGAAGTCACACTCTGCTCCCCTGGCACTCAGATAACCTCACGGAGCCCTGTCCCTGCACACACACTGGACGCCGGATCACAGACCCTGAAATCATGCTCAGTCTTCCTCACATGAAGGACAAGTAGCTGCATCTTGAGATCCGTCCCTGTGATGGACACATGGGGTGAGCACAGGGGATATACACAGAACACTATAGCCTGAGGTCCGACCCTGTGATGAACATATGACAAGGGTACAGAAATCTGGAGCTCGAGATCCTTCCCTGTGATAGGCACATGAGGTGTGTGCAGAAGGAAGGGGGTGCCGCACCCCATCTGTAAGCAGGAGCCAAGCCACATGTTGCTGGGACTAGCAAGGGACTTGTGTTCCCATCGAAGCACAAGAAAGACAGGCTGCAACTTAGAAAGGTGACCGCTGCAGAGACCAGCCGTCCAGTTGGGGCCCACTGCTGTGGCGTCTTCCCTCATTCTTCCCTCCGCTTGGACTTGATCGATGGCCTGGACCAGCGTGAAGACCACCTGTGAGGGCTGGGGCCCCAGCCACCCAGTCAGGGGTACTTGACCCTGGAGGCCAGGGATCAAATATCAGAGTGACGTGGATTTTAGTGACTCTGTTCTGGTTCTTAAACGAAGAGAAACGGTCACAGGAGCGTGAGTGAAGCCGACTACACATCCATGTCCGAGAGCCTCCCTGAGGGCTCTCAGAGAGCTGCATCACCTGCCTGTTGGGCACCTTGTCTTGGCCTGAGACCCGCATCTTTTCATCTCAGAGGGTGAAGCATGCATACTCTCCTCAAGAAGAATTTCGGGAAGACTTTGCACTGTACTTGGGGGATTTTTCAGGGAGCTTCTCTGAGGGAGTAAAGAGTGGTCCCAGGCACTGGGTGTCATGTGTTGTCACCTGTCACCACTGCCTGCCAAGCCCCACGCTTGTCAGATGCAAGGCAGAGCAAGCTGGAGAATGAGGGACGCCTCACAAGGCTGGCAGTCACATCCCTGTGCACCCACCAGAGCCACACACACCACCATTTCTCTTTAATATGAGCAAAATCTAATACTGAGGGATTTTCTCCGGGTAGCAATGTTCTGTCAGAAAGATTCCAAAAGAATCTATGAGGCTCTCATGAAGAGTCATCTGAAGGTTGATTGTGGGGAACAAAGCTCACTCTTCAATGTGAAGACAGCTTTCGGCAAACACCCTCCTGCAGCGTTCACTGAACATGAATGTGCAGAGAGTCGTCGATACCTATAAAATATCTGCAGTAGGTTTTGCCTTCACTGCCCAGCATTTCTGAAGACATTGGTGGTAAATTTGCAGTGAGGTTTGGAACACACACGCCTATCCTTTGCTGACTTATGTACCGCCTCTTCGTGCCCAAAAAAACCATTTTAAAATGTATTCCTTGCTTTGCTTTCAGGAATTTGTTAATTTGGGCCTTTTAACATAGGGTATCGCATTACACTAAAACCTGACCTTCCCTGGCAGGAGGTATCATAAAAGTTATACAAAAGAGCTCCATTCACAAGGATGTTGGTGGTGCAGTCAGTCTGAATAATCAGACCTTACTTAAAAGTAAGGGAACACAGAACCCATTCTCCTAGCCATTCATTTTAAAATTAGAGTCTTTCAACTGCTTTATACAACAGGCCACACAGCGTGGTCAGGTAATAAAAGTAACAAGCCAACATGAAAATAAATAAATAAGAAAGCATTAAGGAGGAAAGACTAGGAGGATAATCCAAAGGGTTACACATCTGTGGTTGTTATAAGGAATTATTTAAGTTATCATTTTCACCAAAGCTGTTCTAGCTCAGTAAAAATTCCCCTTATGGTGGGAGTGCAGCAATGCATGTCTGTTGCTCTTGCTGTAAAGTTTAGTTAGAACAGAATAGCTTGTGTTTGGGCCTCACCTCGTGTTTGTGGACATCTGAAGTTAAGAAAAGCATTCGTCTTTCGGGCAATCAGAGCCCAAAGTCCCAAACTGTGTGAATATTAGTTAATGAAGATGCTAATGTTGCTGTCATTTGCCACCGAAGTGATAAATAGGCACTGCAGACTTGGATGCAGACACACAAGGGTTCCCGCCCAATCTGTGTTAACATAAACTGGGTGTGCAGGAGGTGAAAATGAGAAAACAGAGATGTCAGCTTGAGCTCGCTGGTGGGAACCTGAGCCAGGCCAGTTCCAGGACCTGTAAGGATGGTCAACATCACTTCTGATTTGTGGGCCGGGTATTGGGAAAGCAACACCGATTTGAGCTTCAATAAGACCATACCATGAAGCCACAGATAAACATATATCTGCACACTATCACTCTACATGAGCAGTCACAAACTATAGCTGGGCGCTACAAGAATTTCCATCCATTCTACTGAAAGGACAGGCACCATTGGATCAGAGGACGGAGCTGTGGCAATGACGTCACTCTGCAGAGCTGATCTCTGCCTTCTTTGCACTGTCTACCTCCTCAGGCAGAGTCTCCCATCCCATGGAAGCTGAAATTTTATCAGTTTAACAGCCTGTGCCCCAACAGTTTTAACAGAGGCCAGCTGACTCCTGCTAGCTTAGACGGGGCCACTGCCCATCCCTGAGCTGATGGCCATGACATCTCAGTGCAGGCCGGGTTCTGTGCTCCCTACTGGAGGTAGGCAAGAAGTCAGCCACACCAACGCCTCACAAACTCATGATGCCAGGTAAAAGGGCAAAATAAGGACGTCTGAAAATCCTGTCATGCATTAAAGCAATGAAAAAGTGGCAAAATGATCAGCATTTTCAGAACTCAGGGAATTAACCAAAAATTTGCAGCAATCCAGGGATCTTTTTTTTTTTTTTCCAGGAAAAATGACTGAAAAGAACATGACTGTAAGAACAGTGAGCACACTGGAATTTTAACGTGGCTTCCTCCCACCCTTCCTTTCCAGCTGTGCAGCACACCTGAAAGTCAGAATCCAGCAGTCATGGTGAAACCCGGCAATCGGGCAGGCATGGGAGGGGCAGATTCCCAGAGAATCCCGAGTACTCAACCTGCCTGTTGGGTCCCAGAAGGACCCCATTTGCAAGGCTGTCTTCGTCTGACCCGACTCACAGCCCATCCAGTATGAAAAGCCTTCTCCACTGCAAGTGTCCATTTGGTTTCTCTTTGCGACACTTCTCCTCCCCTGTCTGATTTAAAGGATAACTGCATAAAGCAATACTTAGAAATATATGTTAATGGGCACACAATATATAAATGTGTAATTTATATGATGATAACCACACAAAGGAATGGAGAGGGCGTGGAGCTATATGAAAGCACAGTTTCTGTACACTATTGAAAGTAAATTAGTATTATATATTCAATGTCATTTTTGTTTCTGTGTTTCTACTTTACTGCCTTCTTTGAGGTTGAATAGATATGTCTGTGTATCGTTATAATTCCTTCACCTTTTCTTTTCCTTTTTAAAGTTATTTTCTTATTGGTTGCCCTAGGGACTTTAATTAGTATCTTAGCTAATGAAAATGTAGTTTAGGTTAGTACAAGCTCAATTTCAATAGTAAACAAATATTAACCCAAACTAGATTAAACATATAGAAACAAATATTAAAATGACATACATAGAGCTAAACTTGTCAGTAACTGAATTAAATGTAAATAGACAAAGCACTCTAATTAAAGGCAGTTTGGCAGAATGGATTTTAAAAAGAGGCCAGGCGCGGTGGTTCACGCCTGTAATCCCAGCACTTTGGGAGGCCGAGGTGGGCGGATCACGAGGTCAGGAGATCGAGACCATCCTGGCTAACACAGTGAAACCCCGTCTCTACAAAAATACAAAAAAATTAAACAGGTGTGGTGGTGGGCACCTGTAGTCCCAGCTACTTGGGAGGCTGAGGCAGGAGAATGGCATGAACCTGGGAGGCAGAGCTTGCAGTGAGCCAAGATGGTGCCACTGCACTCCAGCCTGGGCGACGGAGTGAGACTCCTTCTCAAAAAAAAAAAAAAAGAAAGATCCAACCACATACTGTCTACAGAAGACACACTTTAGATTCAAAGACACAAATAAGTTGAAAGTAAAAGGATAAAAATAAATGTTGCTTGCAAAGAATAACCATAAATAAAAGAGCTGGGGTGACTCCATAAATATCACACAAAATAGACTCTCAAACAAATGTTGTCACTAGAATAAAAAAGGATATTCTGTAATTATAAAAGAGTCAGTTCATAAAAAAGTATAACATTTGGCCAGGCATGGTGGCTCATGCCTGTAATCCCAGCACTTTGGGAGGCCAAGGTGGGTGGATCACCTGAGGTCAGGAGTTTGAGACCAGCCTGGCAAACATGGTAACATCCCATCTCTACTAAAAACACACACAAAAAAAAGTATAACATTTGTAAACATATATGCACCTAACAACAGAGCCCCAGGATATATGAAGTAAAACTGACAGAATTGGAGGGAGAGACAGAAAATTTTACATTAATAATTGGAGACTTCAGCCTAACTTTCAATAACAGCTATAACTAGACAGAAGATCAATAAGGAAATAGAGGACTTGAACAACACTATAAACTAATTAGACCTAACAGACATATATGTAACACTCCACCCACAAGAGCGGAATACTCATTCCTTTCAAGCACACTTGGGGCACTTTCCAGGATAGGTCATGTTCAACCATTAAGCAAGTCTCAGTCAATTTAAAAGGTCTGAAATCCTACAAAGTATATTATCTAAGTACAATGGAATAAAATTAGAAATCAAAAATATGTGGGAAATTTATACTAGAAGGAAATTAAACAATAGACCCCCAAATAACAATGGGTCAAAGGAGAAATCACAATGAAAAATTAGAAAATACTGTGAAGTGAATGAAAATGAAAATACAACATATGAATATTATTGACTGCAGTGAAAGCAGTGATTCGAAATTTAAAGCTATAAGTGTGTACTTTTTTTTTATTTTTCATATCTCCATCTCTAGGACATCTGTAATCTCTTTAATTTCTATTCGACAATATAAGTGTGTACTTTTAAAGAAAACTGAAATCAACAACTTTATCTTTTGTATTAAGAACCTAATAAAAGAAGAAGAAAATAAACTCAAAGTAAACAGAAAGAATAATAAAAATAGTAGTGAAAATGAACTAGAGAACAGAAAAACAACAGAGAAAATTTTTAAATTATGAAAATTCTTTCAAAGATCAATCAAACTGACAAAACTTAAGCAAGACTGGCAAAGAAAAAAAAGAGAGAAGACCTAAATTACTAAAATCAGTAATAAAAGAGGGGACATTACTGTCTACCTTACAGAAATAAAAAGGATTATAAGGGAATACTATAAACAATTGCATGCCAAAAAAAAGCCTGTATGAAATCGAAAAATTCCTAGAAAGATATGAAGTACTCTAGAAGAAATTGAAAATATGATTCCAGAAGGAATTAAAAATCTAAATAGACCTATAACAATAAGTAAAGTTATTGAACTCATAGTGATAATTTTAAAAAATAAAAAATAAAACTAACTAAAAACTTCTCCACAGAGAAAAGCCCAAAGCCAGATGGCTTACTGGTAGAATCTACTAAATATTTAAAGAAGAATTAACACTAATTCTTTATGGAGAGAGAGAGAGAGAGACAAGTGTAATGAACTCTTACAATTTTATGTTAACTTGGTTTTAGCCATTTTGGTTTTTGCTATCTAGCTCAAATAACAGGTTCTCATTTTCACTTCTGTGGCTGAGGCAAGATACCCCTCACCCAACACCCACACACAGCCTCAGAGCCAGCAGGACCTCAAGATAACACCTCCTCATGGGAAAGGATTTCCACAGTTGTTTGCTTTGAACTGTCCAATTGCTACCCTGCCTCCCAAATGCCTAAGTTCTCCACCTTGAACCTCACTAAAGGCAAGGGCCCCAGATTCACACTTCCCCTGCCTGCACTCCCTGACCCCATTTGTGGGGTCTCCAGGTATGCCACGCACCCCTCAGGACCTGTGAGGAATAAAATATTTATTTCCATTCTATGTACCTGCTAATCATTAAAAGTGTGCTCTCCACTATAAAAGTCCTACAGTAAAACAAGGAGTGGAAAATTTCAACCCATTCTGTAAGTCCAGTATTACCCTGATTCTAAAAGCAGATAAAGACATTACGAGAAAGGATAACTACAAACCAGTGCCCATGATGAATATAAATGGATTATCAAAAATATATATATGGCTAAACTGAATCCAGCAACATAGAAAAAAAAAGATTATGCCCATGACCAAATGGAATTTATCCCAGTAATGCAAGGTTGGTTCAACATACAAAAATCAGCCATGTAATGCACCATATTAATAGATTAAAGGACAGAGCACATGATAGATACAGACAAAGCTTTTAATAGATCTTAATAGATGCAGAAAACACATTTTACAAATCCAACATACTTTCATAGTAAAAAAAAATTCAATAAACTAGGAATCATGGGGAACTTCCTCAACCTGATAAAGGTCACCTATGAAAAACCCGCAGCTAACTTATTACTTAATGGTAAAAACTAAGCTTTCCCTCCAAGATCAGAAACAAGACAAGGATATACATGCGACCACTTCTATCTAACATTGTTCTGGAGATTACAGTCCTGGCAATTAGGCCAGGGAAAGAAACAAAAGGCATTCAGACTGGAAAGGAAGACGTACAACTACCTCTAGCTGCAGGTGATGTGATGTCATATATTGAAAGCACCAGGGAGTTGCATACATGCATACACACTATTAGTGCTAAGTTCAGCAAGCTTTCAAGAAGGGAAAGGTATACTTCAAGGATCAGACATTCAGCATAAAACAAGTATGAAGGGAGAAGAGGTGAAGAACTAAACTGGAAGGGTGCACAGTAGTCCCCAATCTTTTTGGCACCAGGGACCAGTTTTGTGGAAGATAATTTTTCCACAGACTAGGGTAGGGACAGGGGCTGCGGAGTGGAGGATGCTTTTGGGATGAAAATGTTCCATCCACCTCAGATCATCAGACATTAGATTCTCAGAAGGAGCATGCAACCTAGATCCCTGCCATGCACAGTTCACAGTAGGGTTTGCACTCCTATGAGAATCTAATCCCACCGCTGAACTGACAGGAGGCGGAGCTCAGGTGGTAAAACTTGCTCACCCACTGCTCACCTCCTGTGTATGGCCCAGTTCCTAACAGCCCATGGATGGGTACCAGTCTATGACCCAGGGATTGGGGACACCTGCTCTAGAGCCAGGACATATGGGGCCCTTGAGTCATGTTAGGACGGCACTTACCCCTCTTAGTCACCACTTTCTTATTTGTAAATGAAAACACTATTTGCATAATATGATATTCATGTATGTTAAATCTCACAATGCTATGTACACAACATGGTGCCAGGCTTCCGGTAAATTCTCAATAAATGTTAGCCCTGCTGTGATTTCTGAAATAATAAAAATGTGTTCAATTATGAAGTTCAAACTAAAAGGCAGATGGGGCTGCCTAGGGAATGGCCATTCCAAGACACCAAACTTCGCATGTTGACATCAAGTGAAAGCGTGTATGAGGATGTGATGAGAGGAATTGTTGCTAAAAATAAAGAATTCCAAACTTCTAATGAATGTATCTCATGTATGATACTATCACTTTATCTCTTTTAATTTCACAAGAACCCTAGGAGGCAGATTCTGTTAATATACTCAATTTTCAGGTGAGGAAATTCATGCTCAAAAGAGCAAGTTCTTTTTATAAAGTGTGAACCAGAGCACTTCGGTGCAATACCGCCTTTACTAAAAGATCAGGGGATAAAAATTGAAGTTGGGTGTGGTTATTTAAACATATATTACAAGCATAAGTACAAAATGCACTCCAGGGATAATAAGATGACTCAGCCACCATCCTTGCCTCAAGGGACTGTGGCTCCTAGGCTAACGAGTTCCATCAGATCTAGACATGGGCTGGGCACTTTCTTCACACTTCAGCAACAGAGCTGGAAATGTCTGGACAGCATGTGCTCACGTTGTGGCCTTTAGAACCTGGAAGCACCAGAACTGAAGCTGCTGTTCCCGGTTTGGATTTTTGAAGACACCTGTGCTGAGCACTGAATGCTAATAAACACTTAGATATAAGTTGCTGTCTATGCCAAGTTATGATTGCCAAAGTGTGGTTTTCCCATTAACTGATGCCTCATGGGCTCCTTTCCAATTGACTTCTCAGTGCAACTATCCAAACCCCTTCCCCACCTAGAAGCCTACCCATTTATAAAGATGATAGTTAAGTTGTACCTCTATAAGAATTCCCATAATACTTTCAAAACTTCGATCATTCAATGCCTGCTGACAAATGATGGAACCCAGCATGGCCTGGGTCTCCTGTGGCCAATGCAACTGCAGTGTGGGTGGAGCCCTGCTGGGAGTCTCTAAACCTCACACGCTGTGCTCAGGAGGGCAGATGACACCCCGCCATGGCACAGCTCTGGAGCTGGGCTGGAGCCCCAGTTGTCTCAGCTTTGATAAGGTTTGTCATGGCACCTGTGTGTTCTTTCAGGATTGCAGACCACTGGAGCTGATGGTGAGACTGAATGAGGAAGACACAAAGCCTTCACTTTATTTCTAACAGGGGCAGCGTCTCCTCTAGCCAATCGATTTTGGAGGTTAGAATGGTAAGCGGTGACAAGCATCAGCCTGGAATTCGACAGACTTGGAATCACTTCCTGGTGCCATTTACCAGTTGTCAGGCATCGGTTAAGTGGTTTAACTCCTCTCAACCTCCATTTCCTCACCTATAAAATAGACACCGTAATGTCTGGCACTCATGAGTCATTGTGAGGAGCTGAATTTCAACCCAATAAATATTTTTAATCTTTGAATGGTACTCATTCTTTGATAATATGTGACATAATTAAATCAATTGTTCACTTAATCAGACTGTGTCTTAGTTTTCAAACTTAGGAAAAAGAGATAACATCTTCCTACCTTAGTTGCATTGCAGAATTTGAGACTTCCCACAGGGAGATAAAAAAAGGTCACATATAAGCATCACTGAAAAGCAAGAGTGACATTGAATCATCATTGCAGTACAATTATATTTTTCCCACAAAATGACTTAAAATTGTAGTATTTATTATTATTTTTCTCAAGTGTAAATACAAGGAAATCATGCTAAATGTTACATTTAAGAAAGTGCCATAAAACAACATTAGTAGGAGTCATATGAGATAAGGGAGCAAGAGGAAGAGAGAGAGAGCTGTCACCAGCAGGAGCCATTGTGATTCGAGCTACAGAAATTTCAAAGACACTAAAGAGAAGTGAGTCAGAGCCCCGGCACTTCTAAGATGCTTTTGTGAACTGGAGCTTTCAAATAGTTTATGAGGTAATCACAGCAACCTTAAAAAATCTGGTCTAGGAGGGAGAAGGAAACAACACACCAACACTTGGAAGACAGCGGCTGTTCCATCCGTGCAAAGCAAGCTATTTAGTGATGTTCTTCTCACATTAAATGAGCCAGGAGACCACACACTTAACTATGATTTTAAAATTAATTATGCCTCACCTCATCATAGTACTTAAATTGCATTTAAGTTGTTTATTCATGCGTCGGACTTGTCAGATGAAAAATGCATTTTTGTCCTGAGGCCAACCTGCAGTGCCTGATGGTGAACGTGCCCGGTGTGATCCCAAGGCCCATGGGGAGCCTGAAAAGAGGGTGGCGAGGGGTCTTGCATGCGGTGCGACCCCCACGGTTAGAGCTCCGTCAGTTCTGCAGTGGGTGTCGATTATTTAAACGATTACACTAAAAGTAATTTCACCATCATTATACCAGATTTGCATTTTGTTTAAATAAAAATTTTTTAACTGTAAACTTTAAGATGTTAAGGAATGTAATGATTAAAAAAAACTTCAAACAGAGTAATTCAAAAATAGATCTCAATCTTTAACTGTAAGTCATCACAGCAGGTCAGTCTACAGAAAAATTCCCCAAAACTTAAACAGTGTGGAATTGAATACTTCAGTGTATTCTTCTATATAAGCTTTAAGAAAAGAAATGAGGAAACCCATGGAAAATGATACAAAATGTTAGGTTCAGAGGAAAATGTCCTATTGACCGACAAAATCCCATAAGTATAGAACCTTCTGAGTAGTTCATAATAGAGATGGGGAAATCTCTTTCTTCGCCTCTCCCCAAATTCAGGAGAAGATAAATATAGATACAGGTACATTTGCTGATTAAGAAAGATTCTTACAATGTTGAAGTCTGATGATAGCTCACCATCTTTCCCCAGTGGCAGGTTGGAAGGTGGTACCATCTTTCCCCAGTGGCAGGGTGGAAGATGGCACTATCTTTCTGTGGTGGCGGGGTGGAAGGTTTTACCATCTTTCCCCAGTGGCAGGGTGGAAGGTGGCACCATCTCTCCCAAGTGGTGGGGTGGAAGGTGGTAGCTGATGTCTAAAGTTTGTATCCTAAGGTCCCCCACAGTCTAAAGCAGTATCTTTTTCAGGCTGTGAAGGTAGGAAAGACTTCATTAATCTGATGACATGAGCAAGCCTCTCTCTCTTCTGAATGTTTTATTGTGGCTCAAATGCTTTGGCTAAAACCAAGTTCTACTTCTGGATAAGCAAGTTGCACTGTTGATCATATTTGCAGGGGTGTTTCGAAGTTATCAGAAAAGTCTTCGCATCCTAGACAAGTCAAAAGTTCACAGATTTGCGCGAGCACAGGTGTGCCTCTGCTGAAGCTGCCCTCTCCCTGTAAGCTGTTTATTCTTTGCACGGGGTACGCATCTCTACACTGGAAACAGCCAGCCCGGTCATGGGCCCAGACCACAGCATCAAACCACTGTGTTTCTTTTTCCAGTGGATGGAGAACTCTTTGAGGGTAAGGACCATGTCTTCTTTATTTAAACTCCCAGAACCTTGACTAGACCCTTCCCAACAGTTGACTCATTGCAAATATTTACTAAACAAGTGAATGAAATGAAAGGCCAGAGTTCTCATCACTCAGCCATCTTTACAGACCAGATGTCCATTGCCAGAGCAGAAACAAAATGAAAACAGATTTCCATGTCCAAAGCTGCAGACGACAACCCCTCTAGCTCTACCACCATCCCACAGAGAGAGCAGTTGGCTGATGGCTTCACCACAAGGGCCACACCCTGCAACACGGTGACCAGCGTCCAGTAGCTCAGCCTCACCTCGGTAATGAGCACCTCCCCTGAATTAAGGGGATTGTTTCCAACTCCAAACCTTGTTAAGAGAAAGAAATGCATGAGCCAGTTTGACCAACTCTCACAAGCTATGCCAGGCCAAATCTTTAGGGCAGAGAAAATGTTAGAAAGAGAAATCCATGGAGGAAGAGCATGGCGGAACGAGGTTCTGGTTCAAATCCCCAGGTCAGTGGGAGGTTCCTCTTCACCTTGTTCCTCCAGCTGCTCCTCCCAGTCTCCAGGAAAAGCTCACATGTCACCCCCACAGGGAAGAGGAGTGGCTTTCTGTGGCCTGAACCTGCACACAGCAGGGGATTTGTGAGGGTTTAACACAGGAATCACTGTAGGACAGCCACAGGGGTCATGCCAGGGAGACCCAAAGGATACCATGCCTCAGTGCTTTGAACTCCGCATGGGACATGCTCACCAAAAAATACGGATCTCAGCACATCCAAAAATATTAAAACACTTTTCTTTTTGTTTTTCCCACCCCGCCCCCCATAAGATGTTGGGCTTGAATGGCTCATGATACAATATTTACAGAAGATAAAATGATAATGATGAGGAAATCTACTTTTTTTTTTTGAGACGGAGTCTCACTCTGTCACCCAGGCTGGAGTGCAGGGGCGCGAGTTCTGCTTCCTGGGTTCATGCCTTTCTCCTGCCTCAGCCCCCCAAGTAACTGGGACTACAAGCACCTGCCACAACACCCGGCTAATTTTTTGTATTTTTAGTAGAGATGGGGTTTCACCGTGTTAGCCAGGATGGTCTCGATCTCCTGACCTCATGATCTGCCTGCCTCGGCCTCCCAAAGTGCTGGGATTACAGGCGTGAGCCACCGCACCCAGCTGAGGAAATGTACTTTCTAAAAGCTTTCCACTGGATATACTTGGCCACCAATCAACAGAAAGTCAAAGAATGGGGAACAAGGAGCATAAATATTATGAACAAGATTGTTTGTTTACTTATCTTGGGGTTATGATACTGCATCACTAATGTGATGATCTTAACAGGATCTTCAAACGTTCCGTCCTCAAAATCTCCACTCCATGAGGCTGTGCTGTAAGCCAGAGGCCATCATCCTCCCTCTTGTCCCATCTGGTCAAGCATCAACAGCTCAGCCTCCCACCGTTGTGCACCCTCACCTCCAGGGTCATCCAGATGGTCAGTAGACATGTTGCATGACCTCCTGTTCTGTGTGGGTCACTCAGGGATGCCTCCTATCTTCTTTATGGCAGCGCTGTCTTTTTCAGCTCTGCTTCTGGCCACCCAAAGCCCTCCACTCAGACTGGGCAAGCTGCCCAGGGGCACAGAGGCACACACCCACCGTCATGCCCCAGAATCCCGAATGGGTGTCCGCACCAGCTCCACTCTGAACAGACAAACACTCCTTACTCTCCTATTAAAGGGCTTGGAATATTATTTCGTACACAAGCAATAAAACATGGCTTCAATAGATTACTCAAGTTTTCAGATGCCAAGACACAGAAAAAAGGTGGAGGTTTTTAAAATTATTTAAAACATCTTTTGCTGGGCTTATTTTCTTTGCTGTTTATTTGTGTTTATCAATGATATGAAAAGAAGTCCCAGGAGAGGGGAGGAAATTCTCGTTTACATATCGACTAAACCTGCTGGAGCCTCCTATTCAACCAGCAGTGACCCTGCACCAGGGCTGAAGAGTCTGTGTGAGAGAGCGAATGTCCAAATGAGCAGGGCGGCCTCTGGGGTGGGGATGGCTCCCCCTCGATGGAAGTCCGCCTTCAGAAACAGAGCCTGATAACAATCACTTAAAATGGCCCATTAGCATTTATTAACATATTCTGTAAATGGATCCTTAGGCACATGGGGGTTGGAAGCAGCTTCATCACCTGGAAATGAGCACACGTATCATTGACGCTAGGACCACTGACAGCCAAATACGAAGCCTTTCCGGAAAACCAAACACGGTGCCTTAGAGAGACACTGCTGCCAAAACATTTGGGCTTAGAAACAGCAACAGCACATCACGGCAAGGGTAGCTGAGGCTCCATCACATACCCAGGACCAAGAGGCGTTCTTTGGGAATGCAGCAATTATTCTCGTGAATGTGCAACATGTCACAGTGTCTGAAGCTGGACAGATTTGTGTCTGTCACTGCTTTCAACTGAGGCTCACTTGGCACAGGTCTGCTGACACACCCATCTCGGAGGCAATCTAAACATAAAAACAACATGATTTAGATGTGTTCATGCATTTATTACATAGAAACAGAAGATCCCCACATCTAGCCGGGATGGCAACCATAAAAGCACTGGAGTTGACTCAAGCCATGGCTCAAACCGCAAAACACTTAGGAGCCAGGTGTCCACAGCATCAGTGGGCGCTTTAAACCCCAGCAAGTTCAGCACTTTCCCCCTTTCTAACATGACTCAGGCCTTCCCAAGGAGGATGGAGAGGGAGAAACTGAGAAACAAGAGTGTGTCCTAAATAGTCAGAGATAAAGGTGAGATTATAGCATTCCAGAAGCCACACCTTCTTCTCTTCTGTATAATCCCAAGTCTTCTAGCATGTGAGGGTTACAGGCATCCCAGCAGCACGGCACACGTGGAGGCCTCGGCTCCTGTGGCTCTCCGGAGCTGTCCATGGTTTGGGTTCAGGTGGCTTCATGTCCATCGGCGTCCGTCACGAGTTCCAGCTTGGTCTACCACCATGTGGCAGAATTCAGGCTCACAGCCCACGTGGGAAGCTGGGTTCTGAGGTCAGGCTCACAGCCCACGTGGGAAGCTGGGTTCTGAGGTCAGGCTCGCAGCCCACGTGGGAAGCTGGGTTCTGAGGTCAGGCTCGCAGCTCACGTGGGAAGCTGGGTTCTGAGGTCAGGCTCACAGCCCACGTGGGAAGCTGGGTTCTGAATTCAGGCTCACAGCCCACGTGGGAAGCTGGGTTCTGAGTTCAGGCTCACAGCTCACATGGGGAGCTGTGTTCTGTGTTGTTGAATTGCCTTGTGATTCATGAGGCATCATGGGCTCCAGTAAAGCTGGAGCGGGAACAAAGGGAGGCTTTTTGGACAGTTATTTTGTGACTGAAGAGTGGAAACTCAAAAAGAGAGAATTTGAGCTAAATTCTCCTCCTCTGTGACCCCAAGAAAGAACTCCTCCAATCCCCCACTCCTCAAGCCTGGGCTGCCACCCACACCAGTGCTCACCCCAGCAGGCTGGGCTTGTCTCATCTCTGCAGGCTCTCCAGGACGTGCCCTCGGGAGCCAGACATCCTCAAAAGGCTTTCCCAACACCTCAGAGATGGCCGTGTTGGCAGACCCTCGCCAAGTGAGCCTCGGGTGAAAGCAGTGACAGACACAAATATATATGTCCAGCTTCAGACAGTGTAACACGTTGCAAATTCATGAGAGTAATCATTGGGTTCCCAAGGAATGCCTCTTGGTCCTGGGTATGTGATGGAGCCTCGGCTACCCTTGCCATGGTGTGCTGTTGCTGTTTCTACACCCAAACGAATCTTGCTGATAAGTCTCTGGTGCGATCATCTGTAATTCAGGCTACTAGAAATATTAGAGAAAACCCGGGTCATTGGAACGGTTCATCCATGTGATGACTGCCCCTTGTGAGACCACGGGGGTGGCCTCCTGGCCCACCATAGGAGAGTCTACTTCCTAAGTGATGTGAAGCAATGATACACGTGATGTAGGTGACACCGGTTCACACAGCAGAGCCCACCGTGCATCTTTGTGCTCCCTCAGAGGCAGCAGCTGAGGCCTGAGACACACAGCGGGAGAAGGAGGGAGCCTGGGTCGTGTGCAGCCCTAAGTCCAGGGGACGGGGCCGAGGACCAAGGTCCTGCCTCCAGCCACCGCCTGAGCTCTCAGGGCGTGCACAGAGAGGCAGGTTGTGCTGTTCCAATATCTGCCTCTGCCCCTCAGGACCCTCACAGCCTCAAAAACCCAATCAAGGGATTCTTTTCTTATTTTTCGCTTCTTTGTTTTCAGTTAGCTTCCTCTGACCACCACAACTCCTGGCATGTTCTGACAAGCACATAAGAGACAAGGGTCGCACTCACACCCACGGACACACACTCGCACACAACACTAAAAGTGTCTTTGTGTATCTTTCTCTCCTGTGATCACGGCATCTGCTGTCAGTGTCTGCCCTCATAAAGTTTTTAGATCAATATTAGAGTCCAATAAGCATTCATGTCACCAATTAATCAACAAGTATCTGTAGACAGTCCGCATACCCTTTGCATTCTACCGGGCACTGTGAGAAACAGCAAAGAATTGTGCTAAATGTTTCCTGGGCCCGGAGAATTGACTGCTTGGTGAGAACACCCAGCTAACATCTGTAAACAAGTAAATGCCCACAGATCGCTGGCCTCTGTAGCTCCAGCCCCAGAGCTGCCGAGAAAGGACCCAGGGCACCAGCGTGTTCGGAGGGTGGCCCTCCTGGAAGAAGCACCTTCAGAGTTAGGCCAGAAGGAATGGGCGTGGGGAGAACTTGAGGAGAAGGACCTGCGTGTCATGAGGGAGACGCTGAGCAGGGAGCAGAGGGAGAAACAAAAACAACAGAGGACATGGCACCCATTTGTCTCAGGGAAAAACAGACGAAATAAAAGCAGCCCAAATGGAGGGATGAGGATGCATTCGGATGGGATCAGTTGGTGTCAAACTCCATTCACTGAGATGTTCTCACCCAGCATTCAGGGAAAGCAAACCTCAGTACGTGCAGAGTGACTGCACCAACAGGATTCCAAAAATACTTCACTCCCGCGGCTCTTCCTGCCAAAACCTCGAGAAAGCTGACCTCCCAGAAATGTTAGTGTTGACCATAATGAGATCAAACTCTGATTGCCCTACAGAGGGGCCCGAAGCCACGAAACATCGGTCTCTCTCTGCACGCGCTGCCCGCTGCACCTCCCTCAGACCTCCCCCAGCCCCACCTCGCCTCTCTGTGCAGGAAGCAGGCCCCGTGCTAATCATGATTGATTTACTGTGCTCTTAGAGGACTGTCTCCATCACCCCTCACACCAGTAAGCTCTAAATGACCTTGCTGAGACCACCGTTCATAGGACAGCCAGCTCCACAGCTCCCCAAGGCAGAAGGGAGCCCGCAATTGTTAATAGGCTCCACAGAAGTGTAAAGATTGCAATGAAAACGTGTAAAACCAACTCCTAATTAACTCACTTCCTCGAAGACCAGGATTTACTCCCGGCAAACCCTCACTAATGAGAATTTCAAGAGCTGAGAGAAACCAGATGTACACAATCTCCCGGACAGTGGAGGAAATCCTAGGGTGTATGGGATTTGGTATATCTTCAACCTATCATTAGTGCTGAAAGCACTCAGAGCGCTAGTCAATAAGTCATATTACCAAAATCTACGGTGTGGCCATTCTAAAGGAAAATCAATCATTTTGTCATAAATAGGCTGGTTGGGAGATTGTATTGAGTTTCTTCTCTAATGTTAAGCACGGTGTTCTATGTGGCACTCTTTTAATTAAAAACAGACAGGCTCTCAAAGCAACATCCATGTTTGCCGGCACCTGATTACATAGTAACATGCACAAATATTCGTGTTTGTTTTAGCATCGTGCTAATTTATGTTTTATGTTGTACTGATTGTCTGAATCCTACTAGTTAAACAAAAAGTACCATTACATCCTGAAGGATATTAAATTATGAGGTTGGCTACTATTATCTTCTGTGTCATAATTTAGATAAGGTATATAATTCATTCCACATCTCATATTTATAGCATGCAGTGTGTGTGTCATGCTCTGTGTTCAAACACACCTGCAAGTAAATTTAAAATACATTTTGACCGCTACCAATTTACCGTGACTGTATCCATTTTTAATAACATTCCCATAGCAGTTATAACAAATGTGATCTTCTGTTTACCCTGTGGCTGATATCAGCCATGGGGGGAGATATGAAAAGCCAGATACCGATAGCCAATATCAATATTGTGTTTCAAAAGGATAGATAGATAGATATTCATCATTACCTATGTATTTTTAAAGAAAGTTAAACTTGGAGGAGCCTGGGATGAAAAATCAGGACGTGCTGTTTTCCGAGGGTTGTGACGAAAAGTCCAAGCACGTTTTGTCTCACGTCTTCCCCCATGAAGAAGCCACAAAGCTCAATGGCTGTCCTGGTCCTTGTGGTTTTATGGTGATCTCCTGTGTTTGGTGCTTAGCTTATGCCAATAAATTATTCACTGAGACCGAGTCTTCATCGACCACCCTTTGTGCTGGTTACAGATTAGGTGTCTTTTGAAGCTGCCACCAGCCTCTTCCGCAGCCAGGACATGTGGTGGATGCTATGACTTACAGGAGGATTTCCAAAGTGGATACTGTGACTTACAGGAGGATTTCTGCAGTGCATCCTCTTCCAAACAAGCGCCGATTCAGGTTCTTTGAGCATCTGGTTCAACCACTTCTGAAAGCCAAACAGGCAAATCGGATTTAGCTCTGATGAAGCCATGTGTCTGTCCCATGGCCATTTTTTAAAATGGAGCACAGAAATAGATGAGCCATCTGGGTGCCCCGCGTTCCCCACACGAATGCCGCCCGTGGTGTCAGGGCCCGGGAACTTGTTAGGAGGCGTTTTGTCCACACACGCCCAGGTACCGGCTGGATCCCAGGCTCAGGCACGCCACTGCCAGACCCGGGAATCCATCACACGTATTGCCTCCACCTAATAAAATGAGGAGACGTACCAATTAAAAGAACATTTAATTGTTTAATGAGGTTCTCCAAGATAGGCAGAAAGATAAGCAAAGGCAAGAAATGTCCAGATAAACTAAATGCTACATTTTAAGAACTGCACGGAGACGGGGTTTGCTGCTGTTTTTCAATGAACAGCTCGCACTCAGAGACAATACTCCAGTATCTAACAATTTAATTCATTTACAGCTATGTGTAAATTCCACCAAATGAGCTGTGTGGAAGCTAGTTGTTGTTGTTGTTGTTTTTCTATGTCCTTTGTTTGATCTTAATAGGCAGCCTATCTCGTGCATTACTAAGGAGCTTGGACTCCAGTCAGGATCTCGAGGGAAGGCAAGGAGCTGTGTTCGTTCCCCCGTAGAGAAATGTCCAGCCATCCTCCCTCTGCATCCTAAGGACATGGCCCCATCCGTCGGAAAGGTGTGTGGGGGCACGCACACACCACAAACACACACAGACACACACAGACACACACACTAACACCATACACACCACACACACAAATACACACACCACACACAGCACACACACCACAAACACACACAGACACAGACACACACCACACACACTAACACCATACACACCACATACACCACACACACACCACACACACCCACATCCCACACACACACCACACACACATCATACAAACACACTCACACACACAACACACACACCACACACACCATACAAACACACACCCCACACACACTACACACACACATCACACACACACCCCCACACCCCACACACACCCGCACACCCTCCACACACACAACATACAACATACAAACACACACACCCACACACACACACCCTCACACACAGCACACACACACAGCACACACACACCATACACACACACCCACACACACCACACACACCATACACACACCTCCACACACACCACACACACCACACACGCACACCATACACACACCATACAAACACACACCACCACACACACCATACAAACACACACACCCCCCACCCCACACATGCACCACACACACCACACAAGCACACCGCACACACCATACAAACACACACACCCCCACACACACCACACACACCATACAAACACACACACCCCACACCATACACACACCCCACACACACACCCACACACCACACACATCACACACTCACACCACACACACCACACACGCACACCACATACACACCATACAAACACACACACCCCACACACACCCCACACACCATACAAACACACACACACCCACACCCCACACACACCACCCACACCATAAAAACACACACACACAAATCACACATGAATCACACACACCACACACACCAGTCACACACCACACACCACACATACCATACACACCACACACACAGACACACCACACACATCACACCACACACACACACCACATACCACACACACACTACAAACACACACCACACACCACGCACACCCGACACACACACACTCTTTCCTCTCTTCTCTGTAGGTTAGACACCTGTTCAAAGCTGAAACAAACGCAGTTCAGCAACTTGAAATGTGAAGTGTGGACTTAAAGGCTTAGTCCTTTTTCTTCATATTTGAGGGGCCCTCACCTGCCAATGCTCCCCAGAATTTCATTTAATGAGGTGCCCCCAGGTCTGCCACATCCCTTCTTCTTTTGAGAAGGTCCTGAGGTCGCTCTGTCCCTCTAAGAACAGGAGTCAGGGAAACTCCCGGGACACACCGCTCCTGCATGAAGGCGTGCAGTGGGATCCACGTGTGGGTGCAGCTTTGAGAAACGTGACAGACAGGAGTGTCCATGTGGAAATTATGAGATCATCGTGAACACACGGGAAAGAACGGACGTAAAGTTCACAGCTTTAATAATTAAATCATTTCCCTCCACCAATGCCGGTGCTGCATCTATACCGAAAAGAGGCTGAGCCTGTCTGGCTGGAAAATCAGTGCCCAGCTGCGGTTTGGAAGCTGAGCCCACAGCCCAGCCGCTTACATGCCACGATTACGTTTAGACTCACTTCCTCGGGACCTGGAAACTTAAAGCCGACCTCCAGACAACCTAGCATAACAACAAATGGAAAAATCAAAGTGCATTTGGCAGAGTGCGCTTGAAGTATTTTCTATGCACACGTTTATTCGTTGAGTTGTTTAAGCACTGGGGCTTCAGAGTGATTTTTAATGAAGAATCTGCGTGTTCGTGTCAGGAGGCCAAGGGGTGTCTCCAGAACGGGTGCTGTTCCCGGTGTGTTTGCGGTCTGCGGCTCATCTCATTCTCTTTAGAGACCCCTCCTTGTTCACTCAGGGAGGGGTTAGTTTATTTAAGCAGCACTCGCATGCCCTGGCTCCATAAGGGAGGATTTGCAGGTATTAATCCGAGCTGGGGGGTGACTCCTGCCCAGTTGAGCAAATGAGGTGAGTGGGGTGCGGGCTGGCAGGGCTTCCACGAGGCCTCCTCCCTCGCAGGGGCTGACCCGAGTCCCACTGTTGGAGCGTGGATTTCTGACAGCGAGGAAAAGTTAACCCAGCTCCCTACCCCGTCTGAATAAAGTTATTACGGCAGATCAAAGTAATTAACAGTAGCTTAGCGCCATTGATTCTGTGGACCCGCCTTGAGGTTAGGAGGCCTTTCCTGAGCAACTCACAGCAGTGCTCTGCCCGGCTCGGGAATTCTCTCCCTTGCACGTTTAGACAACGCACACGTGTGTGACAAGAAAACGCTCGCGTGCTCTGATGCGCTGTTTAAGTGGACACTCGTACCTTTTCTCTTTTTCATATTTTGCTCCTGTCCGTATTCCCACTTTACAACTTTTCTCCAGATACAGATTCAGCGATCCATACACCACACTGCTTAGCTCTTGACTGAATTCCATCTGGATCCAAGTCATCTTGTATACATTATCCATTACACTAAATTTACCCCTTTATATGGAGCCCATTTGTTTTCTAAGTGGAATGCTCTCCCAGCTGCAGTGAGTTTCTGAAGCAAAGGGCCCCATCTGATATCATCATTTTATGTTTCAGGGGCATTCAGATATGAAAGCAGTTTGCCGCATATTAACCTCAATCAGCGTTTTCAGACACATGTACTTCCTAGACTGGCTTAGTGTCTCAGAGATGACTATGATATGAATAGCAAAGGAATTACCACAAAGCTTTTCTGTTGCAATAATATATACATATTTATAATTTCATTAAACCATAGATTTAGGAAAGCCTTTAAAAACTCATTCAACTCACTTCTCCACTTGTAAGCTGATGTTTGAAAACACAGAGTAATAGCTTCCATTTATTGAGTAAGTGGTAGGAAGGAAACGTGGGATTCAGCACTTTAGGCATGGTTTCTTATACTTAGAATGGCCCTACCAGGTGGCTATGAAGACCCCACTTTACAGACGAGAAAACTGAGGCCACGGAGAAAGTGCTGGGCCCACAGCCACAGGCCAGTAGGGCAGACCCAGCATTTAGACTCCGCCTTCAGGCCAGTGTCCACACATTTAAAGCAAAATGTCTTAGCCTGTGACCTTCCTGTCACGCGCACATATGAGTAGACACATACGACTCCCACTGCGGAAGGACTGCCCCCAATGCCAAGTGCATATTGATGTGTGTGTATGCACAGTCACATACATAGGCACGTACATGACATTGTATAAAATCATATAAGGAAATGGGTAAAAACAGAGCTGTAGACACTCAGGATTTCTCTATTTAATCAGTTTTTACTGAGTTCAGTTAAATATGATGAAGATACAAGTTTTTATGACTTTTTCAGAGATGCATGTATCTGTATAGTGCATAGCTGCCTTCTAATACCTTCTAATACCATGTGTAGTAGGCAGCAATAAACCTTGCACCAGACTTTCTATAAGAAAAAGTCTAATCTAACACACTACTTTTCTTTTTTTTTATTATTATACTTTAAGTTTTAGGGTACATGTGCACAATGTGCAGTCCAACAATGATAGACTAGATTAAGAAAATGTGGCACATATACACCATGGAATACTAAGCAGCCTTAAAAAACGATGAGTTCATGTCCTTTGTAGGGACATGGATGAAGCTGGAAACCATCATTCTCAGCAAACTATCTCAAGGACAAAAAACCAAACACTGCATGTTCTCACTCATAGGTGGGAATTGAACAATGAGAACACTTGGACACAGGAAGGGGAACATCACACCCCAGGGCCTGTTGTGGGGTGGGGGGAGGGGGGAGGGATAGCATTAGGAGACATGCCTAATGTTAAATGACGAGTTAATGGGTGCAGCACACCAACATGGCACATGTATACTTTTCTTAAAGATAATAAGAAGTTGTAATATTTTCAAGTTTGAAATTCTTCTATTCTCGAAATTGAAAACAGCCCAGCCACATATCTATTCATCCCCATCCCATAATCCCCCTCCCTGTGTGTACCTGCCCCCACCCCAGGGGGAAGTCACCCTTCTACCACTCCTTCCCTAACCACCGCCCTGTTCTTTAAGCCGCTATGCAATGCAGAGACTTATTTTATACACTCTTTAAATCACGAATTAGAAAACCTATCAAGGCAATATACATGTGCCATATGAAAATGTGTCTTCCATAAAAACTCGTTCAGTAATCACCAAGACACATTGGCCATGTTGATTGTGATGACGTCTGCTTGGGCTTTTCATAACTCAAATGCCTTTCACGAAACCCGAACAAGGTCATGACACGAAGCCTGTCCTCTCCATGACCACTTGCCTGAGGCCTTGCAGCCAGGCTCAGCATAGCCCGGCGAACAGGCGTGTGCACCGCAGCCCCACGGAAGCACAGCTGGGTGTTTCTGACTCTGATCTTCCCACCCACTGACCCTTCCCAGGACACATCAGATGCTGCTGTGGGGGGAGCAACGAGCAGCCTGCCAGGAGGATGTGTGCTTAGGGCTCAACAGGCTAGCATGTTCGGATTTCTTCCTCCTGACTCTCAGGCCAAGTAAACAGTCATCCCGACTGCAGTTTGCACAACAGATCTTTGCTCCCAAAGTAGTACCCCAAAGTGTTCTTATTCCCATTTTACACATGAGGAAACTGAGGCTCTGCGTGTTCAGACTTGCTTAAAATTATCCAGCTCCTACAGAGGTAGAATTGGCATCAAAGCCCAGGCACCCCCCGCTGCAAAGCTCACGCCCAGCAGCTCCCGTGGCCAAACCAACCACTTCAGAAGCTAGAAGCATAACCTTTCTGTCCCTCCCAGAAGACCCCACTTCCTGACTGTAAAGGAATGAGGACATTTATCATATGGAGAGGCCCCCGGCAGGGAGCCGAGGCCACCAAGAGCTCCATGTCCCTAAATCTCTGGCTGTGCTCCAACTTTGGACAACGACAGGGGGGCGACAGCATCCTGGGGACAAAGGACTTCTGGAAACCCAGGGGGTCGCTCCTCTCCCCAAGTGTCAAGGCTCATTTCTACTCCATCATCTCTTGTCCTAACTTTTATGGAAGCCTGATAAACCACTTCTAAGCATGTATGTAATGTTTGCTTTCATGGGACAGTCTCAGTGAAATTCTATCTCGGTCACAAATCTCTGAGCTTTGTAAATGTCAAACAGAATCAGTTTTCTAATACTTGGTAATGGAGGCATCAAAGTTCCCCTTCTCTCTCTCTGACAGGAGCCGAGCATCTGAGGTTTCCTGCTCCTGAGAGAAAGCCCCGGCTGCCCAGGCTCAGGTGAGTTTTAGGGTCTCGGGAACCGTCCATCCCCCAGCTTCACTCACAACAGCAAGCTGGCCGGGACACCCCAACAATGCCCCCTGGCCCTCAGGGACCCTCCGTGGCCTGCTGAGCCATTAGCTACAGAGTCTTCATGGATTCACCAGTGCTGTGGCTTCGTGACACTCAGGAAACAAAACTCAGGCAAGATGATGAATTTCAGAGAGAAATTTGAGAATTTAAGGTGAAATAGTGGCACACCCTGAGGCCCTCAAACTGTGTAGGGACGGATCGCTGGGCACCAGGCCCAAGGGGCACTCCGTCCCCTGGAAGTCACCAGAAGTCCTGGGCGCCGCGGCCACTGAACTGCCTTGCGGCTTCCTGCTGGATATTTTAAGTGCATGAAAGAGGTCGGCAGACACCTTGTTTGGATTCATAAATGGGCTCCCACCTCATATTCCAGGCCTGAATTTAATTTGTTTAATATTCCCAACACTAACGATGCCTGTTTAAGACATCCTGTTAAAAGTTTGTAACATTAATTTAATGGAAAAATGCCAGTATCACTCTAAGAACTCTATTAGATTTTCTCCCTGTTAAATTAATGTTACTAACTTTTAATGGATGTTGTAATTAGATGTTATTATTCACGGGAATATTACCCAAATTAAAATCAGAACCTGAGAGAGACACAGCATAGATGTACAAGTGCATAAAGCCGTGGCATCTGGATGCTGCGCCGGCCGGCGGCGGGCCGGACGCCCGGCCTGTGCTCCCCAGAACCGGCCTCAAAGTCAGGCACTGGGGTGCTGGGCAGGGCGTGTGCAGGCACAGGCTGCAGCTCCCATTTAGGAAGGAAGTGATGGCTCCCCACACACCCTGCAGGAGGACAAGGAGCCATCTTCCAATTTCACAATCAATTTAAAGGGTCACTCTCCATCCGGCCTGATTGGGTTCGGCAGTTTGAAATTGACTGTTTGGGTTGTAAAGCTCTCCTGCCTTCCTAGCCAATTTTAAAAAGAGGTGGCTAAGCTACCAGCTTATTATGAGCTAGAGAGCAGAAACACAGGGAATGTCATGAATTTAGAGCTGCTGGGTCTGACCCTGGCCAGAGATGGGAAAACAACAAAGCCCTATTGCTTGTCTGGGGTCTCATGGACGTGCCGCCGTGCCGGGTCCTAGAGGAAAAGCTGACTCCACACCTGCTGCTGGCAAGAGGCTGGGGTGGGGACCCCAGGCTGGGCTCAGGCTTGGCAAGAGACCCACCCTCTGCACCCAGTTTTCCTCACGATGAGGTCTCAGAACCACACAGCAAACCCAGTCCATGTTTCACAGGCAATTCCCCACACTCAAGCGTTCTGTTTGGGAGAGGGACATGCAGGAGCTCATGGTTATGGGGACACTGGCTCCCCACCAAGCAGGTACATGATGTCCTCGTGAAACACAAAGTCAACACAAAGCTGGGGGACCCCAAACAGAGACCACTGATAAACCATCCACAAATACCCTAATGGCATTCGACTGTGGTTTTAAACTCAGGTCTGAAAGCGTGTGCTTTGGATTTCTGCTACCTCTGTTCCTTTCCTTCCAGGGTCTGGTGGCAGTGTCAGTCGCCGAGGGACAGAAGAGTGAGTCGGGACAATCAAAAGGAATTTACAACCCACAGATTAGGTGATAAGCCCAGAATCATTGAAGTGATGACCCCCCCACTGCGGCCTCCCTCCACACCCTGCCAGAGAAAGGACCCCTACACCACACCACACCCAGCTGGAGTCAGCTGCACTCCGGAGGCCACATGTTGTCTTGCCATGCCGCATGTGCACACCCGTCTGCCCACAGGCACAAGCCAGCCGCAGCTTCTTTCACGTTCCCAAGCCTCGCCTAAGCCCTGGCACAGAGTGGGCACGTGACCATTTTGGTGAAGGGACACGTTCATGAAGAATGGATGAGAGAAGTGTATTGTGACCACTGGACAACAGAGAGCAAAGAAAGGACTTCTTGTAGCTTGGTCCCTTCTGAGAGAACTGTTATAAAGGATTATTGAAGGTAATACTTTAAAAGGCAATCACACGTCTCCTAAATTGGAATTCCAACCAGCCATCTGAGAACTTGAGCATGGTGTCAGGAAGAGCAACGGCGACATGAGAGCTGAGAGTGGGAGAACAGTGGACTCACGGGTTGAATGGATTGTCTGGAGTGTTTGCACACTTCTTTCAACACCCAGTGCTCCAGCCCGGTGAGCTCCTGATGCGGCCTTTGTGGGTGCTCCAGGTGTCCCTCACCCCAGTCCCAACTATGCTAGGTGTAGGTGGGATACACTCCCTCACTGGGTATGGGTGGGATACACTCCCTCACTGGGTATGGGTGGGATACACTCCCTCACTGGGTATGGGTGGGATACACTCCCTCACTGGGTGTAGGTGGGATACACTCCCTCACTGGGTATGGGTGGGATACACTCCCTCACTGGGTATGGGTGGGATATACTCCCTCACTGGGTGTGGGTGGGACACACTCCCTCACTGGGTATGGGTGGGATACACTCCCTCACTGGGTGTAGGTGGGATACACTCCCTCACTGGGTATGGGTGGGATACACTCCCTCACTGGGTGTAGGTGGGATACACTCCCTCACTGGGTGTAGGTGGGATACACTCCCTCACTGGGTATGGGTGGGATACACTCCCTCACTGGGTATGGGTGGGATACACTCCCTCACTGGGTATGGGTGGGATACACTCCCTCACTGGGTATGGGTGGGATACACTCCCTCACTGGGTATGGGTGGGATACACTCCCTCACTGGGTATGGGTGGGATACACTCCCTCACTGGGTATGGGTGGGATACACTCCCTCACTGGGTATGGGTGGGACACACTCCCTCACTGGGTATGGGTGGGACACACTCCCTCACTGGGTATGGGTGGGACACACTCCCTCACTGGGTGTGGGTGGGACACACTCCCTCACTGGGTGTGGGTGGGACACACTCCCTCACTGGGTGTGGGTGGGACACACTCCCTCACTGGGTGTGGGTGGGACACACTCCCTCACTGGGTATGGGTGGGATACACTCCCTCACTGGGTATGGGTGGGATACACTCCCTCACTGGGTATGGGTGGGATACACTCCCTCACTGGGTATGGGTGGGATACACTCCCTCACTGGGTGTGGGTGGGATATACTCCCTCACTGGGTGTGGGTGGGACACACTCCCTCACTGGGTGTGGGTGGGACACAATCCTTCACTGGGTGTGGGTGGGATATACTCCCTCACTGGATGTGGGTGGGATGTACTCCCTCACTGGGTGTGGGTGGGACACAATCCTTCACTGGGTGTGGGTGGGATATACTCCCTCACTGGATGTGGGTGGGATGTACTCCCTCACTGGGTGTGGGTGGGACATAGGTGTGGGTGGGATGTAGTTGCCAGTGGGATGTAATCCCTCCTGACTCCCTCCCGAACACATTAGGTTTGCAGGTTATGATAAATGCCACCTCATTATAGTAAAGAAATGCAGAGGCCAGCCCTCTCCTAATGGTTGGAAACTGGGCTTGGTCATGATACTGGTACAATAACAAACACAAAAACCGCTGGAACAGAATAGGAAACCCAGAAATAAACCCACACACCTGCAACCATCTGATCTGCAACAAAACCAACAAAAAAGAGCAATGGGGAAAGACTCCCTCTTCAATAAATGGTGCTGGGATAGCTGACTAGCCATGTGCAGAAGAATGAAAATGGAGCCCTGTCGCTCACTGTATATGAAAATTAACTCAAGATGATGAAATATTTAAATGTAAGACCTCAAACTATGAAAATCCTATAAGAACACCTAGGAAATACTCTTCTCAACATTAGCTTTGGCAAAGAATTGTTGGCTATGTCCCCAAAAGCAATTGCAACAGAAAGAAAAATTGTCAAGTGGGACCTAATTAAACTAAAGAGCTTCTGCACAGCAAAAGAAATTATCAACAGAGTAAACAGACAGCCTACAGAATGGGGGAAAGTATTTGCAAACTATAAATCTGACAAAGGTCTAATATCCAGGATCTACAAAGAACTTAAACAAATCAAGAAGCAAAATACCAAACAATCCAATTTAAAAATAGGCAAGGGACATGAACAGACACTTCTCCAAAGAGGACACACAAGCAGCCAACAAACATATGAAAAAATTATCTACATTGCTAATCATCAGAGAAATGCAAAACAAAACCACAATGCGATATCATCTCATGCCAGTCCAAATGGTTATTATTAAAAAGTCAAAAAATTACAGAGGCTGTAGAGAAAAGGGACAATTACACAGTGTTTGTGAGAATGAAAACTAGTTCAGCCACTGTGGAAAGCAGTTTGAAGATTCCTCAAAGAACTTAAAATAGAATTACCAATTCACCCAGCATTCCCACTACTGGGTATATACTAAAGGAAAATAATTCATTCTATCATAAAGACACTTGCACTTATATGTTCATGGCAGCAGTATTCACAGCAGCAAGGACATGGAATCAACATATATACCCATCAACAGTGAACTGGATAAAGAAAACATGGTACCTATACACCATGGAATACTACACAGTCATAAAAAAGAACTAAATATACCCTTTGCAGCAACATGAAGGAATTGGAGGCCTTTATCCTAAGCAATCTAACACAAGAACAGAAAACCAAATACCACATGTTCTCACTGACCAGTGGGAACTAAACATCAGATACACACAACTGTGAAGGTGGGAACACCAGCGGGGGTCACTAGAGGGGAAGGGAGGGTGGGAGGCATGGGCTGAAAAACCAACTGTTGGGTACTACACTTACAGCCTGGGTGACAGGATCATTGGGACTCCAAGCCTCAGTATCATGCAATTTACCCCTGTAACAAATCTACACATGCACCCTTTAATCTATAGAAAAAGTTGAAATTTATTAAAAAACAGAAAGAAACAGGACTTGATATTGATGTCAAAGAGTTATAGTTTTAAGTTTATTAAGGAGCCTTGCCAAGTCTTAGTTTCTTGGCCTGTAAAATGGGATTGTTAATAACTAACCCACTAGGTATTATGGGAACAAATGAAGCTAATGTAAGATTTTAATAAATACTGGTTATTATTCGTGTTCATCAGTTACTTTGTATGTACATTTATGATTAAAGACTTAGCTATAGAGAGAAAAGCCCCAGAGCCTCAACAAGAAGTCTGAATACTTTTCAGCTACCAAAAAATACTTGGTTTCCAAACAAGTATTAATGTATTCATAAGTAGTTTTCTCTGTGTTCTGCTTACTATGTTTGAATAATGTCTTAACTGGGGTAGGAGAAGGCTACAGCAGCTATATTGTCATCTAAGTACTAAAAGCATCAGTGCTGAATAGTGTTAGGAAGGCAAGGATGGCTCAATGTGCAAACATCAATTGATGATGCAGGACCATATTAATAAAGATAAAAACAAAAACACACACACTCGTCTCAATAGACACTCATCCCAAAAGAAGCACTTGATAACATCAAACACTGTTTAATGATAAAAGCACTCAACAAACTGGAAATGGGACACAATTTTCTCAACTTGACAAAGAACATCTACAAAAACTCACAGCCTTATATCTAACGGTAAGACTAAAAGTTTTCCCCCTACATCAGAAACAAGACCAGGATGTCTGCTCTCACCACCTTCAATCAACATTGTACTAGAAGTTCTGGCCAGGGTGATTAGGTAAGAAAAAGAAATAAAAGACAGCCAGACGGGAAAACAAGTAAAGCTATTTCTATTCACATAAGGAAAATCCTGAAGATCCATACCCACACAAAAAGAACAAAAAACAATTAGAGCTAATAAGTTCAGCCAAATTTCAGGAAGGAGATAATAAATGCTCGGGTCTGGAAGTGGAGCAGAACTGCCAGTGGATACCAGGTTCATTAGGCAGCGGGTGATGAAATGTTCTGGCATTAGATAGTAGTGAAGACTGCACAATTTTGCAAATTTACTTAGTGTCACTGAATTGTACACCCTAAAAGTGTACATTTTACAGTATGTGAATTATATCTTAATTGGAAAAGAATACGCTAACATTCAGCTTCTGTTGGAATTTGTCCATTTCTAGGCGCCAAGCACTCAAGAGAGAAAGCAAAATAAAAATTGAGGAAAGAAAGCATGGTCCATTCACTTGGGAAAAGTGCTGCCTTTTCCCACACACACACACACACAGAATCCAGTTTAAGCCGATCCTACAACCTCACCCTACGTTAATGGAACCAAAAACAACTTTAATGACATCTATTGTTTGATGTTTATAAACCAATCTCTCTTAAACATAATAAAGTGTATAAAAGAGCATTCTCTTTTCTCCTTTCTAGGACAGATGATTTTACAGAATAATAATAACATGTTTCACTTCAAACATTCTGATCAGTCTGTGCAGGAATTTCCACCCGGGAAAAGCAGGCTTCATTTTTAACCATCATATCTTGATTTTCTGGTCTTATTTTTTATTGTGTTGTCTACTTCCATACAGATGCATTGGTTCACCCATCACTCGGTCATATTTACTAAGTACACATGCTGACCAATCCCCAGCACTTGCATTAAATATCTCTTGAATAAATGAGTGAACACGTGAATGAATACTCAAAACATGGAGGCCCCCAGGAGTATTTTAGGAGATTAAAAGAAAGAGCTTAAGTTGGAGCCTTCTAGTTCCTGTGTCCACCATACCAGAGGCCGACTGAGCCCACGGGCCCGTGGCTGCCCAGTGATTCCTGCACAGTGGGTAAAGCTTCCCTCTGGTGGACACTAAGATGATACATACCTGGGCCCCTGCACCGAGCTGGCCCCAGGGACCAAGTGTGGGCTGTAGGAACTCAGGGAGGGAATGGGGGAGGCTTGGGGGGGTGTGCCCACAATCATGGAGCTTCCTCACTTCCTCTGGTCCTGTTCAAGCATAATCCAGATGTCCCGCCCCATCTCGAGATGGACAGTGGGGGCCTGTCCTGGTGGGCTCATGATGGGCAGGGTGAGGACAGGGTCCCTTAGTGCCCCGGGCTCACCTACATGCCAGGGCTGACTTTGGAAGACAGATAATTCTCTGCTGCAGGTGCACAGCCTTCTTCCAGTGCCTGGGTACCTGCCTTTCCTCACCCAGGCTTGCCACAAACTCCATACCAGAGTCCCCCATGCTGCAGGTGCATGGCCTTGTTCCAATGCCTGGGTACCTGCATTTCCTCACCCAGGCTTGCCACAAACTCCATACCAGAGTCCTCCCCGATACTGCAGCACCATAAGTGGGAATGTCGACCCGCAGCCTGACCTGCTGCCAAGCCCTTCCTGCCAGGCCCACACAGTCTGCAGCTGCATTGTCAGTGAGGTTTGTAAGATGCAGCCATTCATTTCTCACCCAGAGAGAAGACTCCAGCCTACCCTGGTACAGGACTCCTAAAAAGCTTCAGCGAAGTGACAGGACTCTGAACCTTTGCAGGATTTATCTCCCACCCCCTGGGCATTTGTTTCTCACCAAGATCCCACTGTGGTGGCCTCCTCTCGTCCATCCTGTCCCATCTGGACGAAGCCATCCAGGTGATGGACCGCCATGCTGTTCCTCATCAGAGAAAGGTCCCTGGGTGACTGCACAGCCATGCCCAGGCCAGGTGCCCATCAGAGAGGTCTCTGTGTGACCCGACAGCCATGCCCAGGCCAGGTGCCCATCAGAAGGGAGGTTCCTGTGTGACTAGACAGCCATGCCCAGGCCAGGTGCCCATCAGAGAGGTCTCTATGTGACCCAATAGGCACACCCAGACCAGGTGCCAGCCTGTTCTTTGTCCCTGTTCTGGACACTGCAAGGCAGATGACATGTCCCAGCTGGTGCCAAAGCCCTAAAGTCCACTCAGCTTTTCACTTCCCCATCCGTGAAGTGCTCATGTCTGTGCTGAACTCAGGCCACCTTCCATGGGATCGCAGCAGTGTTTCCAAGCTCATCACGTCCTTGTCTGTAACCGACACTTTTCTGTGAATCTGGCCTTCATAGCATGGGGTTGAAGCCCCCGTTGGGCAGGGTTGGTGTCTGGGTACCGTTGGTCACCCCGAGCACACAGTGTAGCCTCTCATTAAGTCATCGCTGTGGGTGAGAGTGTTCCGTCAATAACTGCTGTTAAGTAAATCTTGAAAAGCATTTCTTCATCATCACCAGTAAGACTCCCAGGTACGGACCCTAATAAATGTGATACCAAAGGGAGGAAAGGGGAAGGAGAGGGCTCGCCCTTCCTCTTCCTCCATCACAGCACTGGCTCCGTGGTGGAGGCATGAAAGGAGCTCCTCGGGGGAAAGCAGAGAAGTCCAGCAGGATACTGTGGTTTCCATCTCAGTCATGCGTCTCCATGCGGCATGTGGACAAAAGGAGTAAAACTCTTCATCTCAGCCTCTCAAACGCTCTTCAGGCCATCCCAGGTTGTAAGAGAAGTCCGGAAGAAATACGTAAACAGAGGAAAACCTGGCTTCCTGTCGCTTGGAAACGAGGTGGAAAGTCACTGAGCAGTTCAGTCAACTCCGACTCCAGGAAGGGCAGTCACTGAATAAAGCCAGTGTTTAAGTGGAGAAGGAAAAAGAAGCTACCTACGTTTCCATGTGGCCACTTCTGTCGCACATTCACAAAACACTAAGCTCAGGCTCAGGGAAGGCGGCCCGCAGCGCAGCAAAGCATTCCACTCCCAGGAGCCGTCATTAGAACCCTAATCACTCAGGGGCACTTCCTGTCCCCTCCACCGCAGAGGTGTCCTACACTAATTAACACCTTACCCCTGGGACGGGAGTGCATTTAGGCCAGGATGTGGTCGTCACCTTGTAAACAGCAGCTCTCTCAGCATCATGCTGCCTGTGCCCTGGGGCCATGGAAGTCCAGGCCCTGGGAACCTGCACCTCCCAGTCGCGACCTCCAGCATCTTGGTCCTGTGGCCTCTCATCAGCGGGAGAGAGCCTCGCTCCTCAGGAAAATTTTACAAAGGATTCTAACTCTCACCTGAAGGAATCCTTAGGAAGAAAAGCAGCTGTTTCCAGTCTGCTGGAGCATGGGGAAGCCAAGGATTATGGAGATACAGGGGTTTTTTGTTTTAAACCATCCTGGACTGCAGAGTCTTCCTCTCAGGTGTTAAAGGAAGATGTCTGTCAGACCCAAGTGAACTTCGACAGTGCCTTTAGATTGCACAGCTTCCCACGCCGGGGCACATGTTCAGCACATGTGACAAACGGGGTTCAGGTTCAGGAATGAGCTGCCGCCTGGAAGTCAGCTTGGAGACAGGCCTGACTCGGAGAATCCCTGGGCTGGCTCTGCCAAGAGGGGGTGACCCATCCCCTGGTGACACTGGGACACTCCTCTTTCCCTGTGCCCCAAGGCCACACTGGGTCAGACCCAGTGGGTGGCTTTGCAGGGCCTGCAGCCTGACTGCTCCTTGGCAAACATGGTCCAAGATGCAGAGATGACATTTCTGAGAAGCTACCCAGTAAATCAAGCCTAATAACCCCCCAACCCAAGCAGCAGTCAAGCTGAAAACCAGTGACACTGGGCTTGGGGAGAACATGGAGGACTTGTTAGTTAAAAAGTGAAAACTCAAAGAACACAAGTCCATTCCACCAGGAGGAAAGATGGCTGCAGATTCCACCAAAGGAGGAACTATTAGAGCAACAAGAAATGGCCATCACCACTCAGGTCTTCCATCAGATCTGAGGGACATGGAGGAGGCCTGTTGCTGGGATGACTGTTGGGAAGGGTGAAAATGTCAAAGCCGAGGAGAAAAAAGTGAATTCCAAGCTGGACTGAATATTTGGACATCCAACAGCCTGCCTCTTTTTTTTTACTTTTTGCTAGAATTTCACAAAAGTTTAGTTTCAAACTCTCCAGGCCCCTGATTTACTCTGAACTCAACATTCAGGTTTGGTTTTCAGCCTTACCTACACCTGGAACTGTGGCTGTGGAGGGCCCTGTGCTCTTCCCACCTCCTCTTCCTGCAGTTCCCATCAGACTCACACTGCAGGCTGCACCACGTTCATGGATAGGGCACGCGCCCGAGGACATCCCGCTTGCTCCCGCCATTCTGTTTACCACAGGTGACAACCGCCATGGCTGAGAGGCAGGGAGGTCCCCCGAGGGCCAGTGTATCCCCACCTCATGGCCTCAGAGAATGGGGCATGGAAGTCCCACAGTGGAAGTCTCTCTATGAAAGTCCCTCTATGGAAGTCCCCTATGGAAGTCCTTCTATGGAAGTCCCTCTATGGAAGTCGCCTGTGGAAGTCCCAAAGTGGAAGTCCCTCTATGGAAGTCCCACAGTGGAAGTCCCTCTATGGAAGTCCCCTATGAAAGCCCCTTTATGGAAATCTCTCTATGAAAGTTTTTCTATGGAACTCCCCCTATGGAAGATCCTGTATGGAAGCCTCTCTATGGAAGTTTCTCTATGGAAGTTTCTCTATGGAAGTCCCACAGCTGAAGTCCCTTATGGAAGCCCCTCTATGGAAGTCCCTCTATGAAAGTCCCCTATGGAAGTCCCTCTATGGAAGCCCCTCTATGGAAATCTCTCTATGAAAGTCCCTCTATGGAACTCCCTCTATGGAAGATCCTCTATGGAAGTCTCTCTACGGAAGTCCTTCTATGGAAGTCCCACAGTGGAAGTCTTTCTATGAAAGTCTCTCTATGGAAGTCCCTCTATGGAAGTCCCTGTATGAAATTTCCTCTATGGGATTCCTTCTGTGGAAGTACCTCTATGGAATCTATCTATGGAAGTTCCTCTATGGGATTCCCTCTGTGGAAGTCCATCTATGAAAATTCCTCTATGGAAGTCCTCTATGGAAGTCCTCTATGGAAGGTCCTCTATGGAACTCCCTCTATTGAAGTACTCTATGGAAGTCCCTCTATGGAAGTCCCTCTATAGAATATCCTCTATGGAATTCCCTCTATGGAAGTCCCTCTATAGAGGATCCTCTATCGAAGTCTGTTTATGGAAGATCCTCCATGGAAGTCCTTCTATGGACATTCCTCTATGACGATGGTTTATTCCACGTGTCAGCTTGACCAGCACCGGGTGCCCAGGTCAAACATTGTTCTGGGTGTGTCTGTGAGGGTGTTCCTGAAACAGATTAACATCTGAATCAGTGGACCTCATCAAGTTGGCCACCCTCTGTGGAGTGGCTGGCACCTTCCAGTGCTTCGGGGCATGGACAGAACAAAAGGCGGAGGAAGGAGAAACTCCCCTTTCCTGCCTGACTGCTGGGCTGGGACCTGTGTCCTCTCCTGCCCTTGGACTAAGATTCACCCCATTGGCTCTCCTGTTCCTCAGGTCTTCAGACTGAGACTGGAACTTTTGGCTTTCCTGGGTCTCCAGGTTGCAACGGCCCATCCTGGGACTCCTCAGCCTCAACAATTTCCTAAGCCAATTCTTCGTAACTCCTGCGTGTGTGTGTGTGTGTGTGTGTGTGTGTGCATGCATGTGCATTTTCTATTGGTTCTGTTTCCCCGCCTGTCGCAGGCACCTGTTGTACCTGGATCAGGATGCAATGGAAGCAGGGTCCATGTGAGCACCAGGTCCTGGGGGTCGTTCTGCAGAGATGACACCCTCTCTGGGAGGTTAACATGCAATGGCCTCAAATGAAATAACTTTCAGGCATCGTCAAACACCACGTACCTGACAATATTAATTATTCTGACTGAAGAAGTGTCCGGGCCCCAGCAGGATGAGCAGGACGTGCTGGAAACGTAGTGCTCTGTTCTCTGCCAAACCACGGATGGAAGCAAACATCTGCAGGAAGCAAATCCGAGGAGGCCACAATGGCTTCATCCGAGTGTGGAACATGTGTTTGGAAACCTATGAAACAGAAGAGCGCAGGGCAGCTTCGTCGGAGAGTTTGAGATCAAGCACTCACTCTTCTTGAATATGTTTTCATTGGTCAATTAGTTCTGTAAGTATTTGGGGAAAGCATTTCCTCAAAGGAGGGGTGTGTGCAGGTCTGTTTGAAATTATCAGAATTCCAAATGCTTGTTCTCACATCTGAAGCCAGGGCTCTGAAGCTGGGGCTGTTTCTACACCTCAAACCACTCCCATGTCTGTACTCCCGGCTCGTTGCCAGCCAGGTGCTTGACCAAGAACACTGATGGGTTCAGAAGGAGGATGTGAGACGAGATTGGCCTGTGACTGAAACTGCTAGTGAGTCGTAATAATTAGATAAAAAGCTGGAACCACGTTTGTGAGCACTGTAAACCAAAGTAGAAATACAGGCTGATATTTTTATTTAAATCTTTCCACAGGTATATTTTTGTTAACCCCAAATTAACAGGTCTCAGTTGATGTAGAAAGTTTATTTCACCAAGGTTAAGGATGTACCCATGACACAGCCTCAGGAGATCCTAACGACATGTGCCCAAGGTGGCCGGGCCACAGCTTTGCTTTTATACATTTTCAAGAGACGTGAGACATCAATCAACATACGTAAGATGGACATTGCTTCCATCCAGAAAGAGCAACTCGAACCAAGGAGGGGCTTCCAGGTCATAGGTAGATAACAGACAAATGGTTGCATTATTTTGAGTTTCTGATTCATCGTTCGCTGATTGAACAATTTACAGGAAGAGTCACTCATGCCTTCGTCTGGCTTCAAGAAGCAATAGGGCGGAGGGAGCCCAGAAACGCGTTCATCCCATGTGACCAGAGGGACGACTGTGAGCTCTGCCTGTCCTTGGTCCACAGGAATATCCTTCGTGGTTTTGAGATCTCAAGATTTATTTTCCTTTCACATTTTAATCTGTTGTTTCAAACCATGTTCGCGAAGCACTGCAAAATGAGGCGGTGGCCGAAAGCACAGTTTGGAGTCGTGTGTGAAAGCTCATTAGACATCAGGGGCACAGGACAGCTCAAAATTCCTCGCGAAACATTTATGCTCTTTATGCTAATTATTCATGAGTGGATATTCTATCTGAATCATTACAAACTGCATCCCCCCCATCTTTAATTGGGTTTTATTAACTTGCATCTATTGTTAAACGGGAACAATAGCACAAAAAGTAGAGAGAGAGAGCCAGGGGGGATGGTGACCTCATTGTGGTGAATAATTTGAACAGGTGGGCACACTGAAATATTTACAGAGTTGCTTTGTTTGAGCCTGCATTTAAAAGTTTATCATGATCACATACTTCTGCAGAATTAGGCCTGCACATGGAGCTGGAGTTGGTCTGTAGATTTTACACAGCTAAGCACTGTGGGAGCTTCCAGATGACATGCAGGGTCGGGATGGGACGGACATGAGCCAGAGTGAGGGGTAGGGAGGAGCTCGGGCTGCAGGGCTCTGGGTGTGTTTGCTGGTTTCCCTAGTACATCAGCCTAGGTGAGAACACTGGCCTGCTCTGTTTACTGAGGTTGCTAGAGGTTATTTTGTTAGTGTACTGGGATGTCAGGGCAGGAATGACACTTTCTCGGTCTCTGTCACAGATTTCATGGTGTTAGAAGGAAAAACTGCAGACTGGTGTTAAAATTCTCTCACCTTCTACTGAAAGCAACTTCATTAAGTCACGCATCGCTGTGGCCCTGCTGAGTCAACACCCCCTGCGGGTTCTGTGCGGGGCGTGGAGGATCCAGGCAGAGTCACAGCATGGCCCCTGCCCTGCAAGAGATCACAGTGCTGTCAGGGAGGTCAGAGGGCGATGGGGCCACAGACGCCAGGGACGCCAGGGTTAGTGTTCTGTGCAGGATGGAAAGGGGAAGGGGAGAGGCAGAGACGGTCTGACACCCAGGCTCTGGGGGACGGGGGAGCGAGGCCTCCAGGGATGCACAAGATCTCTCAAACTGACCGTCCCCAACCAATACTCAGAGAAGCAGGGAGGCTGCTGTGTTTCCTGGTTTCTTTGTGTGAACAGCCCCAACTGACATCAAGTCAAGGCAGGTTCCCCTGTGCGGCAGGAACATCTGCACAGTGCAGACAGACGGCTGCGAAACAGCCATGGCCTGGAGTTGGTGTGTGTTTGTCCTTTTGCTTTTTAACTATAAAATCAGATCCAACCAATGGCATCACCAGAAGACGGGCTTCAGACTCGTAGGTGCCACTCGGTGACCAAGTACCTGCTATGAAAACACATTGATTCCCGTGACTGTCCACAAATTCTCACCAACATCTCTTCTGCTGCTCACTCAAAGATTTTTCTTCCAATTTTTATTACCAAAAAAGGGAGAAAATCACTGGCTTTTCCTTAAAAGCCTATTTCTCTAGAAAAGTTTCTCTAGTTTCTCCTCATAAAAGTCTTAAACCTTTCACTGCTGTTTCCCATCATTCCGTTGGGTTACCTCCTCTGCAATGAACTTGACGGAATGCACACAGTGACTGATCTACACACCTGGGCGCTCATCCGCCGACCTAGGGGAGCCTTCGCTCTGCCTGTGCATCCTTCATGGAACCAGCATGTAAGACTGAGCCTGGCTCAGGTCCTAGGTGCCCAGTAAAGACTTTTAGAAATATGACAACTGAGTTGGAGACCCTAATGCCACCACTTCTTGAAGCTGAGCTGTTTCCTCTGCCACAGGATGGAGAAAAGAGGGAAACCTCTAAGTGGGTCATTAGTTCCCTAAAGCTGGGAATGCTAAGCTATCTGGGAAGTTTTAAAGAGTGATATAAAGAGGCCACCAAAGCTGGCATGAAATCCAACCTGTCTGCAACACTTGGAATGTCTCTCTAAACACGGCAGAAGACCCATAACTCATGCCGGGATTTCTTTTATTTCCCCCTGAGATTACTGGTGTGGTTTAAGTAAGGAAACTGCTTACTTCCTCATTTCAATGCTAAAATGAAGAATGCTTTTGCTTGGCGAAGATCAACTGTACATTTACTTAAGATAATGTCTGATGACATCATTTCCTGTTGTTAAAATGCTACAAGTGCTTGAATCTCCTACAAAGATACAGGTTAATGGAATCAGAACAGCTGATTGACAAGTGCGGAAATCAATCGTCTGAAATGATTATTTACAAATTCAAAGTTTTAAAAGCTTTTAAAAAAGAAGATGCTTGATCTAAGCTGCATTTGTACACACAAATGATGCAGTGCCACAGAAATCAAATTGCGAGATTCTAAGCAGGAGACGTATATGTATATACACATATGTAATGTCGATACTATATATGTAACAGAACATATACAGTAGTTTATATAATATGTAATAGGTCATATAATCAAAGATGCTACTAAACTTTTCTTACAGCACACTTAATTTTTTTTTTAATATTCCACAGCAGGGTACATTGGCTCATGCCTGTAAATCCCAGACTTTGGGTGGCCAAGGTGGGCAGATCTCTTGAGCCCAGGAGTTGGAGGCCAGCCTGGGTAACATGATGAGACCCCATCTCGACAAAAAATGCAACAATTAGCTGGGCGTGGTGGCATACACCTATGGTCCCAGCTACTCCAGAGGCTGAGGTGGGAGGATCCCTTTACCCCGAAGGTTGAGGCTGTAGTCAGCTATGATTGTGCCACTGCACTCCAGCCTGGACAACAGAGCAAGATGATGTCTCAAAAAAAAAATTCCAAATTGCTCGCTTTCCGCAGAAACAAACAATGTATTACCCTTCTTAATATGAAAATCTGTCAGTGATACAATAATCTCTAATATTTAGCATTCATTATCAATGATGCTAATATTTGTGATTAACTCCCCCCTCTGAAGGTAAATCCACTTCTCTATAAGAGCAATAAAGACACCATATTCTCAACCAACTCTTTGAAATGGAAGGAAAACTCGACTAGACCTTCAGGACAAGTTCTTCACATCTGGGTGCCCAGCCACACGCAGTAAATTTTCGCTTTCACTATAAATCAAGTTAATAGTTCTCACTGTAAATGCAATACATGATTTTCCCACTTTTTAGTAGGAACTGTTTAAAATGCAATGTTTCTATGTAATCCAAAAATTTGAGTGACTTAATTTCAAAGTTACAGAAACTGCTATGCTCTCACTCTGTAATTTTTTTTAAAAAAGTTTTTGACAATAAGTAGCAGTTAAAACGAGTCAATTTAGCAGTGACAAAGAATGTTTTCCGCTATAAATGTAGTGCTTAAACAGTTATTTTAACAGTAGACTTGTCAAATTGATGTCGCTGGGCATCATAAAAACTGTCTAAAACTGTAAATTTAACTGTTAAAATGAGCATTTACACTGTTAGCTGCTAAACACTGGTTTAAACGAAGCTGTAATAAGCACAAACAATAAGAATGAGTGGAAATTATTTTCAAATGCTGATTTTTTTGTCATTTCTTGTTCCTTTCCTAAAGTGGGATGCAGGCTAATACTTGAACAGAGATGAGAATCTCTGGGAAATCGCCTGGCACGCTTTATAGTCCCTGAGCTCAGGAGGGACAGTGCCAAGTGAACCATTCGTCCCGAGGGTGGCTGCTTTCGGCCCAGGCTCCGATGCCTTGTGTGGCATGGCTTATCCAGGCATCTCACCTCCAGGACCTGCAGTGCGGTTTCTTCCTCTCTGGGACAAGCCTCATTATCTCCAAGAAAGTCACTGCATTCCGGGGGAGCAGGAGTGCGGACCTGGACTGACGCTTCCACCCTGCAACTCTTTCTGTGGGGGCACGCTGTGAAAACTGGCATTCCGAGAGAAACAGCCAGGCCCTGGCGCTGGCACCGTGGTGTGTCTGTAAGGGCCCCTCCTGAGGGTCTAAGCAGGAGAGGCGTCTGCCCCTGAGGAGGCCCCTTCCTTGGAAGCCCACTAGGTGCAATTACCAACCAATGCCGTCAGCCCTCGGGCCACATGCCAGCAGGGATCCTGCAGACCACATTTCACAGAAAACCCCAAATCTGTGTATGCTGGTGAACAGCTGAAAATGAGTTCTCAGAAACACACACACACACACACACACACACAAGCTGATGCACAGTGTGTGCCAATTTCTGTGTTGTAAACAGTCCTGCCATGGCCAACGGGGGAGGTAAGGGCTATCACTGAGGACTGTGCAGCCCTGCCTGTGATCGCAAACGCCTGAACAGTGAGGAAAACACCCAGAGTCCCAGAGGCCTCAGGGGAGTGTTAATGAGGAGGTAGGGCGACCCCTGAGGGGGGCTCTGGGGCATCTGCTGGCCAACGTTATGTTCATTAAAGGATTCCACAGCTGCTGGGAAGCCAGGTGTCCCTTCCACAGCCTCTAGCAGCCCACTTCACCCCAGGATCTCAGAGTCCCCAGCCATGATAGGGAGGGCTCAGAAAGAGAATCACAGCCCCCGGGGGACTTCTCTGTCTGCGTTTTCTCACATGGGCAAGACTCTCCAGCCAGCCCTGGACTCGCTGACAAGGATTTGTAACTCCACGTAAGTCTATCAACTCAGATGCCACTTCCTCCAGGAAGACCACCTGGCCTTTCCAGGAGGAGGATGCACACGCACCCTGGTGTGACCCCATCTCAGGCCTGGTGACCCTGGATTTTGATCACTTGTGGACCCGCCTCCTGCAGAGACTACAGCAGAACTGTTCAGGGAGCTTGGGCAACAGAAAAGAATAGAATGGCCTCATCAGCACAAACAGTTTGAAGGATGACGGGGACAAATGTTCATGAGAGGGTTGAGGTACGCCATGGACTGCCTTGGATTTAAGGCCACTTTAGTACCAGCAGTAGGGAGCCACTGAAGGTTCTGGAGTAGGGCAATGGTGTGACTTGAATGGTGCTTTAGCAGGGTTAGTGTGGTGATCCTGTGTGACCTGGAAGGACTTGGATGTAAGGAAGCTGAGCCGTGGAGAGGTTGAGACGAGAGGAGAAGAGGAGGAGGGTGGAGCTGGTGGAGATGGCGGGAAGGCACCAGCTGTCAGGATTTGCTATCACGGAGGTCATGATGAGGCTGGGATTGGAGGTCATGGTGAGGCTGGGGTTGGAGGTCATGGTGAGGATGGGGTCGGAGGAAAGGGAGGGTGGACTTCACTCCATCACTGGACTCCAGATTGCATGGGGCCTCTGGATTTGCCAATAGAAGCACTCACAGGGTGACGAGGCCACTCTGTGGGCAAGACCCATCACTGTCTACACCTGCCGTCAACATGGGGACACCAAGGTGCAGCTGGGGAGAGCTCCTGGTGGGAGAAGAACCTGGGTCGTGACTGCACGTGAGCCATGGGGTCTAACAGAATCCAACCCCACAAGGAGGGAGGCCGGGGGAGGGTGGCAAACAGGAGACAGGGCTAGAGGCAAGGAAGGACCTGAGGCCTCCGAGGATAACAGCGGCTAAAGACGAGGACGGGGGGCTAGAGATGAGGACTGAGGGCTAGAGATGAGGACAGAGGACGGGGGGCTAGAGACGAGGACGGGGCGGCTGAAAGATCTCGCAGGGAGAGGCTGGGATGAGGCGGTGGGCTGCCAGGTGCTGCTGCAGCCACAGTGAGGGAATCTGAGGGCTGGGTCGGGCCATGGGAGTGGAGGGGAGATGGGAGGAGGCGGAGGTGGGTGGCCCCTGCACCTGAGGTGGCCCGCACACCCTGCGTCCTGGGAGGTCCCTGAGGGTCCTCGGCTTGTGTGTGTGTTTGTATTAACAGCAGCACAAAACCAGCCTCTTCCATATCATCACATGGTTTACAAAGACTATGAAATAAAAATAAAGATGATGTGTCTCTGGGAGACGGGGTGAGACACTGGATGCTGAGAATGTTAGTATCGAGTCTGTCACTGAGGTCAAAGCCATCTTTTATGCTGCTCACTCAGGAACTGTGGGGTCCCTCATGATCGATACCGGAGGGAAAGATCCCGGGAATTCTCGGGTCACAGGAGAACGCTCAAAACGTGCTGTCAACCAGAGGGGCCTCCTTGTTGGAATGAGTTAACACTCTGGTAATTTGGGCCTTTAGAAAGTGAAATAATATCACTAATAATGACGCCACCACCCAGCATTTATACGCACCTTTTTGCTTTCCAAGAACTTAAAGCACCTCACGTGTACCTTTCTTCTAGATCTAAAAGTGTATATTAGGGAGTTTGGGAAAACGCATTTTTGCTACTCCTAACCACAATACCCCCGTTTCCATAGTAACAAACAGGAAAACGAGGAAATAGGGACCCCAAACCCGGAAGCCTGGCTCAGGTCACAGACACGTGACAGGACGGGATCCAATATGCTGCTGCCAGGGTTGGACATTTGTCATAAGACACTTGAGGTGTGTGCAAGTTGTGCTGTCTAGTAAAGTAGAAACACTGAGAGCAGTAGGCAGGTGTCTGCGGGGTCGGAGAGGAAGGGCGCCATCGGGGAGGAGGCAGAAGGCGCGGATCCCGCCCGGCACACTGAGCACGCTGCCTGCCAGTAAGACGGGGCCTCTGTCCTGCCTGCCTGCCCCAGAGGACTGCGAGGTCAAACAAAACAATGAATATGAAAGCTCTACGTACTTTAAACAAACACGTGTTATTCATCATCATATTGTAAACCATCACAAATGTAGGACTATGCTAAAATAGTGCGGGAACAATGGCTTGCCTGGAAATGTCGTTTGTCCTCACTTTTTCCGAGATATCAGCATGACCACATACACATGCGGAGGTGAGCTGGCCATGCTAAACTCACTGAGCAGCGGCTTACCGATTATCACCTGGTCAAACGTAAACACAGCGAGGGATACGTTCCGGTAAGATGGATCTAAATTGAATCGGAAGTTATGTTCTACATGAAACTTTTCCATTATTTTTGGTATGATTCATGAAATAGATCTTCATGAATTTTCATCTAATGGAAACATTTCTGTTTTAGTATTTGGCCATGAGTAGAATAGAACAGAATAATTTGGGGGGTTATAAGGACGCACATGTTGGTTTGGTGTTCAACTCCTTCATTCTACAGTTCAGGCCTGAAGTCGAGAGAGCATAGCAGGTGTTCACAGACCACGCCATTATCTCATTCAAATTTACTTCATGGGAACATTCAGCTGCTCTGACGGAAGGGGGCTGCGTGTGTCACACAGCACACTTTGTGGCAGCACAAGCATCACGCTGTGAACCACAGCGACTGGGCTGCCTTTGCTCACCCTCAGCTCAGTGCGCACCAGGCCACTCTTCTGTCTTTTGATCCGTGCAGCAGCCCAGGCACCTGATGGGGTCATGGGAGAAGTGCGTTGAGTCGTGGGTGGGGCATGGGCCTCGACTTCTCTTCAGTGGAAAGTCTATTTGTGTGTCTTCTCCAGGAGATGAAAGAGTCACTGTCACGGCCCCTCCTTACCCCCTCCTCCCCCAATCTACTTAGTATGCCCAGAATATCCGGATGGATTTATATAGGTGCCCTCTCCTGTAAATCTTGTAACGGTGGCATTCTTCATTCTCTGATCAGGTTCAGGAGAAAATTTCCACCACCGAACACCCTGCTGTTACAAATTCCCTCCGACCACGTCCCCGGGACGCTCCTGGATGCCCCTTCCTGCCCCTGAAGGGAGAGATTGTGGCCTTATCAGATGCAAGGCAGAGGATGAAGATTTTGTAAATTTTACTGTTACATAAAAATGAGCATTATCCCTTTCTTAAAGTGCTCCTACAATGGGAACACTCGTAAATAAAAGTTTATAAAATAAGACATATTTTTATTAATGTTTCCACATCATCATGTTCTGTGATTCCATCTGACTCACCTCTTTTAGAATCCACTCAGTTAACATTTATAGAGCTCTCCTCAAACCTAAGGCCAGCAAGACAACTGGACTGGGGGCTGCCGTGTCTCCCCAGCACACGCATGGCAGCTTGTGTTGACATCGGCAAATCACAAGGCATTGAAACGAAGCTCATCTTAGAAAACCAAGGCCACACGTGGCACTTGTGGAGAGTGGGTTTTCCACACTTCCCACGGCCACAGAACATCGTTCTGAGCCTCACATGGGTGTCACAGGCCTCCCTGGGACCTGCTGGACCTCCCAGGGAGTGGCCTCTTCAGATCTACCGTCCCTGCAGACATGAGAGCCAGCCCCGTTCCAAGGTGAGTCACAAGTAATGTCCCGCGGGTGACGAGGTGCTCACATTTGTGGGTGATTTATATTTGCATGAATTAAGCTGTATGTAATATTGTGCAAGAATAACACTCACTCACTCTGACTCACACTGGTGCTTCCCAATCATCTTTCTAGACTGAGAGAGTCATGGTGCTTCAGCCAGATGTCCTGGGACTGGGTGTAGCCCATAACCTGCCCATCTGCACGGTAAATGTGCAAACACCATCACTCACCATGTGGGGGCAGGGAAGCCGTCTCCGCAGACAGCGAGGGAAGCTTCCGCCCAGCCATGGGGCACAGCTGTCAACGTGGCCCAGAGACCAGCATCCCCGCTTGCTCCATCCTCCTGAGGTCCATCATGCCCGTTTCCCCATCTTCATGTGGTAAATTCACGTGATGGCGATGGGTTGACTATGTCATAACAGACACACAGATGATGCCCTTGGAAAAGATACAAACCCAAGCATGCAACCATCCCTGTTAGTCTCACTTTGCTTCTGTGGGCCAGATGAGCTCAATGTTGATTCACTCTAGGACAATGGCCCCTCTCAGTTGAAGAAAGACGATTTTGTTGCCAGAGAAATCTCCTAGCATAAGGAAATTAGAAATGTCTTCTCATTTTTAATAAATCCCAAAGTCCACACCATATTCTACATGTATACAGGAAGCAATGTGAGTTACTGTTACAGCCTTAGTCCTACGTGTATACAGGAAGCAATGTGAGTTACTGTTACAGCCTTAGTCCTATGTGTATACAGGAAGCAATGTGAGTTACTGTTGCAGCCTTAGTCCTACCTGTATACAGGAAGCAATGTGAGTTACTGTCCTAGCCTTAGTCCTACATGTATACAGGAAGCAATGTGAGTTACTGTTGCAGCCTTAGTCCTACCTGTATACAGGAAGCAATGTGAGTTACTGTCCTAGCCTTAGTCCTACGTGTATACAGGAAGCAATGTGAGTTACTGTTACAGCCTTAGTCCTACGTGTATACAGGAAGCAATGTGAGTTACTGTTACAGCCTTAGTCCTACGTGTATACAGGAAGCAATGTGAGTTACTGTTACAGCCTTAGTCCTACGTGTATACAGGAAGCAATGTGAGTTACTGTCATAGCCTTAGTCCTACGTGTATACAGGAAGCAATGTGAGTTACTGTTACAGCCTTAGTCCTATGTGTATACAGGAAGCAATGTGAGTTACTGTTACAGCCTTAGTCCTATGTGTATACAGGAAGCAATGTGAGTTACTGTTACAGCCTTAGTCCTATGTGTATACAGGAAGCAATGTGAGTTACTGTTACAGCCTTAGTCCTATGTGTATACAGGAAGCAATGTGAGTTACTGTTACAGCCTTAGTCCTATGTGTATACAGGAAGCAATGTGAGTTACTGTTACAGCCTTAGTCCTATGTGTATACAGGAAGCAATGTGAGTTACTGTTACAGCCTTAGTCCTACGTGTATACAGGAAGCAATGTGAGTTACTGTTACAGCCTTAGTCCTACGTGTATACAGGAAGCAATGTGAGTTACTGTTACAGCCTTAGTCCTATGTGTATACAGGAAGCAATGTGAGTTACTGTTACAGCCTTAGTTCTATGTGTATACAGGAAGCAATGTGAGTTACTGTTACAGCCTTAGTTCTATGTGTATACAGGAAGCAATGTGAGTTACTGTTACAGTCTTAGTTCTATGTGTCTACAGGAAGCAATGTGAATTACTGTTGTAGCCTTAATGTGTCCGGCTTCCTGCGTACTTTCAGGCTGCTCCTGGAGACACTTTTTCTCTCTTCTTCCCTTGGGCTTCCCAGAACCTGGCCACTCTCTTCAGTTGTCGCAGCTGCAGTCGCACAGAGAGGAAAAGGCCAACCGTTGACAGGTTCTGCACCCGCTTCTGCCTTGCTTTCCTCATCAGAAGGGAGACGGAAGTGAGATGCCTAGGATGGCCGACATTCTCCTTGCTGTGCACCTGTACCCAGCTGAGCCCCTGGCCCTTCTCCCTGACTCGCGGACACTCTCCAGAGCTGCTTGCACGCTTCCTGAGGCCGTCTGCCCTAGAGTAGCCCACCTGGCCTCTCGTGAGCCTCTCCAGGTTCCTGGGCTGGGTCACAATGCTTCTTTGAACTCTCAGACCCAGCCACCCCAGCTCCGATGCTTTGTTCTTCTTCCACCTGGGAAACTCCTGTTTCTGCCTCAAGACCCTGCAAAGCCTGCCCTCTCTCAGGAGCTCTTTCTGCCAGCCCTGGTGCCTCCACATGCCTAGACCGCCCTCCACCCCTACACGCTGTGCAAGCCTGTGTGTCTGCGCTCACTGTCCTGTGTGGTCCCGGCAGCTGTCCTCACCCGGGCCTCATGGTATTTGGAGGAACGGTCTTCATCTCCAGCTCTGTGCTTTGGGGACTCGTGCAGGGGCTGGAAGTCAGGAGTTCATAAATGCTTGTTGGATAAAGTACTGAGTAGAACGTCCTGGCGAGTGACAAGGGTCACTGACCCACAACTGTGACTCCCAACCCGCAAATTCCCGGGCTCTCGAGATTCAGCAGCCCATAGTGCGTGGAGGTGCTGGAGCATGACTTTGATAAAATTGCTGTACTCGTGTGTATAAGACACGAAAGCCGAGGCCTGGCTGATCTGCGTCCTCCCCCGTCAGGGCTGTGCAGGCCTCGGTGCGAACGCTGCAGCTCCATCAGCAGCCATGACTCTCACAGCTGCACAGGGGACCCTGGTGGTCCATCGATGGGGTCCTCAAACGTCAGAGACATCAATAAAAGAATTAATTGCATTTTAATTATTTTTTAAAAACCTCATCATTTTCCTGAAGCCGGAAACGATGGCTCTGCCTGTCCCTTGGTTTACAGGCCTGCTAAGGAAGGCGCCGACGTCCCTCCGAGAAGCAAGCTGTCTTTCATGCCTCGCAGCCTCGCAGAGGACATGGAGCAGGCCACCCCCAAGGACTTCCAGAGACCAGCCAGCCCCGTCCACACCTGGACAAAGCTGAAAACAGCCAGGCGGACACACCGCCTTCCTTCCCCAGGCCCGTCGGTTACACCCGAAGAACCACCAGTCCGTCCAGAAAGCACCCAAGGGCCCACACCGCCAGGGGAGTCGGCGAGCGTTCACACTGCCAGGGGAGTCGGCTGCAGGCTGAAGTGCTGGGCACGTTGGGAAGGGGAGGTCTCTGTGAGAACACAGACACTGGAGGTCCTGAGTTGTGTCCTGACATCACAGTTCCCTGGGCCTTGTTCTCGGATTCCAGTCTTTCCTCCTCTTCGCAGCTCGGGTGTCTGTGTTGGGGATCCCCTGGAGAGTGCATTTCTGAGGGCACCGAGACCCTATGTGCAGTGGGAGGCTGCAGCTGATGCCCCCGGGGATTTCCTCCAGTGTTTCTTCTAGGGTCCCCCCACCCCTGTCATCCCATCTCATAGACGCCTCTAGGCGATGCCCACCGGGGGCTGCAGCTCCACCCGCAGCTGGGGGCCACATCAACATGACTGCGCCTCCCGCTGGCACCAGACACCACCACTCACCACTGCTTGCTTGAAAATAGCCCCAAAAGAACATAGATTCCAACATGTATTTCCATGAGAATAAAGGAAGTCTGAAAAATCCATGTAGAGTTACTTCGCACCATGTGAAAATCAATAAATGTGTGTCTGTGTGTAAGTGTGTCCAAGTGCATGTGAGTGTGTGCCTGTGTGTGCAAGTGCATGTGTGTGCATGTGTGTGAGTGCATGCAATTGCATGTGAGTTGTAAGACCATGTGTATGCATGTGAGTGTGTGTAAATGTGTGAGTGCATGTGTCTATGGGTGTGTGTGTAAGTGCATGTGTGTGAATGTGTGAGTGGATGAGTGTGTGTGAGTGCATGTGTAACTCCATGTGTGTATGTGAATGCCTGTGTGAGTCCATGAGTATGTGTTTGTGTGCCTGTGAGTGCATGTGTGTGTATGGGAGTGTGTGAGTGCATGTGTGTGCATATTACTGTGTAAGTGCATGTGTGTGCATCAGTGCATGTGTATGAGTCCGTGTGTGTGGCAGTGCATGTGTGAGTGTATGGATGTGCGTGAGTGCATGTGTGTGTGGTTGTGTGTGAGTGCATGTGTGAGTTTGTGTGTGAGTGCATGCATGAGTTTGTGTGTGAGTGCATGTGTGTGTTGCATATTTGTGGAGTGCATGTGTGTGTGAATGTGGGTGAGTGCAAGTGCATGTGTGAATGTGCTCGTGTGGGTGAAAGTGTGTGATTGTGTGAGTGCATGTTTGTGTGTGCATGTGTGTTTGTGTGTGCATGTGTCTAAGTGTTTCAGTGCATATGTGAGTGCATGTGTTAGTGTATGAATGCATGAGTGCATGATAGTGTGAGTGCATGTGTGTGCAAGTGAGTGGTTGTGAGTGCATGTGTGAATGTGTGTGCAGGTGTGTGTATGTGTGCCTTGTGTAAGTGCATGTGAGTGGATGTGTGAGTGTGCATGGGTGTGTAGAGGTGCATGTGTGTCTGTGAGTGCATGTGCGTGTGTGTGTCTGTGTATGAGCATGTGTGCATGAGCATCAGTGTGAATGCGTTTGGGAGTGTGTACATGTGTGAGTGCATGTGTGTGTCTGAGTGCATGTTCATGTGTGATTGAGAATGCGTGTGTGTGCGCAGGTGTATGAGTGCGTGTGTGTGACTGTGCATGTGAGTTCATGGTTGTGTGTGCCTGCGTGTGTGTGTGTGTGCATGTGTTTGTGGGTCCATGTGTGCCTGAGAGTGCGAGAGTGTGCATGTGTGTGCATATGTGAGTGCATGTGTAAGGGTGTTTGTGTGTGAGTGTGAGTTGTGCTTTCTCTTTTTTGAGATGGAGTCTTGCTCTGTCGCCAGGCTGGAGTGCAGTGGTGCCATCTCGGCTCACTGCAACCTCCACCTCGGGGGTTCAAGCCATTCTCCTGCCTCAGCCTCCAGAGTAGCTGGGATTACGGCGCTTGCCATCACGCCCGACTAATTTTTTGTATTTTTAGGAAAGACAGTGTTTCACCAGGTTGGCCAGGCTGGTTGTGAATTCCTGACCTCGGGTGATCCGCCCACCTCAGCCTCCCAAAGTGCTGGGATTACAAGGATGAAATGTGTGTGTGTGTTTGTTTGTTTGTTTTTAATCTCACATCCCACATCCCGCAGTTTTTCCTCCTCGTCACAGGCCTGGCTACGTTGCGGCATTCATGATTTCCTTCATGAGCAGCGGCATTTCCCATCGGGTGGACAGGTGGGCCTGGGCTGCACCTTGTTCTGCTCTACTCGGAGCGGCCCCTCTGTCCCTGTGGCATCGCCTCTCGGCTCCCGGCCGGCTGGGCTCCCTGTGTCACCGACTCCCAGGAGAGGCTTCCGAGGCTGCTTTGCCTTCTCTCCAGGCCCGGCTGCGAGGGCTGCCTCGCCAGGGACGGGACAAACCCCGCAGAGGGGGCCGTGGGGAACCCTGAAGGGAACCGGGCAGGGCGGGAGAGACAGATGGCCTGAATTTCCCACCGATCGCCGAGCGGCACATTGGCCGGGGCAGTGATGGATGAAGAGTCCTTCAGCCTCAGTCCCATGGCGCGGGGCTTTGCGCAGATGCTCAGCGGGGGCCACCGGCCTGGCTTTGCTGAAACACGGGAAGGGCCCCCAGCCCTGGGTTCGCGCCCCTGCGAGGCGCTCCTTCCCTTGGCGCCTGGGGCCCGCGCGGCCGTTTCCCTCCCCGCACCCACCGCAGTGCAGACCCGGAGCCCAGGCCTCCTGCAGGCGGGTCACCTCCCTCTCAGTTCAGCTGGATCTTCCCGGTGCCTGACCGTGGCCACCCTCTCGGAAACTGTTTTAAAGTCACCTTCGGGTCCTTCCAGACCTGTTGTGCCTGTTGCAGGTCGGAAACGCAACCCGTCTGGAAGCGCAGGCCCCTTAGGGAGGCTGCAGGGCGCCCCGGCCGGCCTGGGGCTGGGGAGGGCGGCTGGGAAGGAGGCACCGAGCAGCACTTGGCCCCGGGCGGCGGCGAGGACAGAGGGAAGCCAGGGAGCGTCCGAGGGAACCACACCCGCGTGTGTCAGGGCCGCAGTGGAGGAGGCTGCAGGGAGCCCCCTAAGTGGGATTCAAGGTCGTGATTCCCAGGCACACGCTCCGTTACACGCCGGGTGGCACGGACATTGCCCGTCTGCCCTCTTCCGTGTCTCCATTGGAGTATGAGATCACACCACACAGCACACACCACACAGCACACACCACACAGCACACACACCACACAGCACACACCAGACACCACACAGCACACACCACACAGCACACACCACACCACACAGCACACACCAGACACACACCACACAGCACACACCACACAGCACACACCACACAGCACACACCACACCACACAGCACACACCACACAGCGCATAGCACACAGCACACCACACAGCACACACCACACAGCACACACACCACACACCAGACACACACCACACAGCACACACCACACAGCACACACCACACAGCACACACCACACAGCGCATAGCACACACTACACAGCACACACCACACCACACAGCACACACCACACTGCACACACCACACACCACACACCATAGACCACCCACACACCACACACACCCCACACCACACACCACACACCACACACTACCCACACACCACCCACACACCACACACACACCACACACCACACACCACCCACACAGCACACACCACACACCACCCACACACCACACACCACACCACACACACCACACACACCACACACCACAGCACACACCATGCCACACACCACACACCACACCCCACACCACACACCACCCACATACCACACAGCATTTTCTGGACTGGCAGTGACTCCGGCCTTTCCTGCAGGTTCTTCCCAGGAGCAGGCCTGGCCTCACCGCCGCCGAAACCAGACCCAGCACAAGCCAGTGCATGCAAGGGGATGTTGATTTCACATTTCCTCTCTGAATCCATTAATATTTTATGAGGCCACACAGAGGGTTCTTGCACTAGATGTTTCTCTCTCTTTTTAATCATGTAATGTGCTATAAAGCATGATATATTGACAAGAGGGAAGGGAAACCAAAGTTTGTTTAGCTCAGAGGGGGGAAAGCCAAACACACATTTTGAAGATTACAACAGACATCCCTGAGGCTGAAGGGTCGCTCAGGTCATTTGACGTCTTGACAAACGAGTCTGTTCTCTTCTGGTTTCACAGCTGGAGTTGTGGGCACGTCCCAGCAAAGGGACACCGTTCACAGAAATAGCATAACCTTCCCAGCACGGGTGCCCCAGCCTCCAGCCAGACCACAGGCCAGCTCCTTTCTGAGACCAGAGGCCAGCACTGTTCTCAAAAGAGGGAAGGGTAAGCAGCCCCCAAAGCTGACCATGAATACTCCAAACACGTCGTCCAGTCTCCTCTCTCTCCTCAGCCCCCAGGCTCCAGCCGCCCCTCTGCAGTACCTCCTGGTATCCCAGATTCCAAACTGGATGGTCCTCAAGGGCTGCCGTGACTCCCCTCTCCGGCCTCACCACTCACCCGCTCATGGGGGAGCGTGGGGACTGCTGGGAGCTCCAGAGGCATTTGCAGCACGGGAGAGCCAGTTCCCACTTCAGAGTGACTGCCACTGTCACGGGCACCGCCCCCTCGGTGCCAGGTGCATTACTGAAGAGTGAGGCCAGCCCCTAGTGTGGACAGTCCAGAGGGAGAGTAGAGTGAGCCCCGCCGTGTGCACAGTCCAGATGGGCAGTAAGGCCAGCTCCCCAGTGTAGAAAATCAAGATGATGAGTAAGTGGATTATCCAGTGTAGACAATCATGATAAGGAATAAGGTAAACTCCCCAGTGTAGACAGTCAAGATGAGTAGTAAGTAAACTAGTAAACTCCCAGTGTTGACACTGATGTGGGTAAGAAGATGAGTTCCCCGGTGTAGATAGATGAGATGGATATTAAGGTGAGCTCCCAGTGTAGACAGCTGGGATGGGGAGTAAGTGAGCTCCCACTGTAGACAGTCTAGGTGGGTAATAAGGTGAGCTCCCACTGTAGACAGTTGAAAATCTTGATTCATCATTTTTATTTAAAATGCAGAAATGCAGTAGATTCCCTGCATTAGTGAACAAGCATTTGTTGCTTTTGTGACTTGTGAACAGTGTCACACTTCTGAGACATGAAATAACAGGCCATTTGCTGATCCCATCTGAAGTGAGGTTGGCGTGTGAAAGTGTCTGAGCTACAGAATGGGTTGGCCAAGCCCCCTTCTGAGACATGAAATAACAGGCCATTTGCTGATCCCATGCGAAGTGAGGTTCTGTGTGAGAGAAAGTATCTGAGCTAGAGAATGGGTTGGCCAAGCCCCCTGCAGCTCAGTTCAGCGGGCTTTTTTCTTCTTTCCTCCTTGTCAGACATACATTTTACCAGTTAATTTAGAAACTGCAGGGATAGTCACCAATAAGAGGATTCCAAACTGTTAAGAATTAGAAAGTGAGGTTATATGGGAAACAAAACACGTCATTGTAACCACAGAGTGGCTCAAGTCTATGTAGGGTGAGAATGAATTTCAAATCCTTTCAAACACTGTGAGAAGCTGATCTTGATGTTCTTTTGAAGTTTTCAGCTGGCAGCGAGCTGAGCTGAGGCTGGCACGCCTCTCCTGGGTCCTGTCACGTGAAGAGGGGGAAGTCCTCCAAGGCTCCTGTGGACAGACAGCAGGGGCACTTTCCCAGCTAAAGCACGAGCTCTGGCATAGGTCTCTGCATCCAACTTGAATAGACCACATCAGCTTCTCCCCAGGTGATAGTTCCCCCAAGCAGAATGCACATTGCCAGAGTCCCTCCGCTAATTTGTACTCCTCTGTTGTGATAGGAAATGCGAGTTCCTTGGCTGGCATTCCTATTTCCCACCTTTTCCCTGATTTCCTTTGAAGTGGCGATATGCCCAGCTATCACCTTTATTTCCAGCCTGTCTCGCACCTAGGAATTTCCAAAAAATGTAATTTACAGTGATAGAGTGAAGTTTCCAATAAAGGAACTTGAATTTTGTGCCCCCTTTGCCTTTCTCTACATCTTTCTTCTTCTGACCTGGAATGTGAAAATGATGGCTAGAAGTCAGCAAGCATCTTGTGACCACAGGGTAACTTCGGGGAGAGAAAGCAAGGAGGCATTAAGGATGGCGGGACCGAGAGATTAAAGGAGCTTGGGATGTCGTGGACTTACCGCACCAGCCCTGAATTGCTTGTCTCCAGACTTCTCATGAGAAAAAAAAAATCTAATTTATTTAAACCATGATCATTTGGGGTCTCTACTACCCTACTACAGCCAAACACCATTTGTAAATGGCACATTGTACTTTTTAATCTTAAGAAAACAATGGACATATGTTTCACATTTCACCTTAATCATACAGCTGTAGCAACACCAGCCTGCAACATCTCATTATCTAAGGGCAGCTTCACTCTAATGAACTAATAGATACCAACGAGTGAATGTATCACTCCTGCTAATTAGTTGTTGTGTTTTCAAATAGGGTCTTCTGGAGTGATGACTTTACCTGTAGCAGTGAAATTTTGTCACTTGGCAGGCTAAGACAGATGCTGGGGTATATGAGTAATTTAGGTCTCATTAAGTCATAGTGTATAGGTGGCACCTTAGCTTTCTGTGTGCTGGCCCAGCCTTTAACCAAAACAGCTTAAAGACTGGGCCTTTAGAGGCTGAGTAAAGGCCCAGTTCTACCAAAAACGGTATACCCTACCCTGATTGCACTAGACAGGAAGATGCTACCTGAAGCAGGATGACTCACAGAGAATATAGCAGAGCAAAGGCAGAAGTGCAGACGAGTAGGATATGACTGGAATTTGAGGAACTACATTTCTCAAGTTATCACTGTCTGTCCAAGAGTTTTGACCACAAATTAATAGAGTTCCCTTTTTTTAATTGTGATTAACAAACATCAGACCAGCTTAAACATCAGTTAGACAGTCTATGCATAATGTGTACCTTTTCATCAGAAAGACGGTGCAGACACAGAAGGGCTGGAATCCATCAGGGTCAGCAACTGAGGAAGATGAATGGAAGAGCAGGGGAGTAATTTGCTGCCATCCATGAAAAATGCGCTGGCAGAGAGTCTCGGGGACTTGCCAAGCCCCCTTTTAGAGCGTTGTCCAACGCTAATTGTCACTCCAGATTTGATATTCACATTAGCCACAACAAGTGTTTCCAGTTTGGAATCCCTAAGAACTCTTCAAATATCTGGCATCCATGTGTTAAACAAAAATTTTCTTCTAGCTGAATTTGTTTATAAGTTATGAGTGGGACGTTAACAAAGCTTTCCGTTGACCAGCACAGCGCTCATTAACCAATAACAAAGGCTTAGCAGGCAGCGTATGATCTCAGGAGTCATTTAAAAATTAAAAGGGACAATAATGCTGATCTAAATGGTCAGTTTCCTTGCTCTCTGCAGAGACAGGTACTGTATCTGTTCTTAATTTGAAGAGTAGCCAGCTGGCTCCCCACTGAAATGTGATATTGTTATAAACAAACTAGCATCATAAAGCAATTGAGCAAGGAAGGCCCTCTGGAAGGAGGGGACTGCCTTTGAGTTATTCAGACAGATAAAGAGGGGCCAGGATTGCCCTGCGAAGCAAAGCAGGATGTGAAAAGCAGCTACGGCGGGGCTGTCAGGCAGCAATAGCAGCATCCAGCTGGTCTCCTTGCACACAGCAGCAGGTGTATTTATTATATCAAGAATCCAACTCCTCAGTGCACATTATAGGAGCCACCTCTTTCCATTAAATAACAACATAATCAATTGCATGAATCATGGCTGAAAGAAACGTTACCTTGCAAAGGTGGATGGTCTGGCAGAAATCTTGCCACCATTCTAAGGGGATTTAGAAAAACCTGTGAAGTTAGAGTAAGAGGAAGTTGAAATTCTATCAAGAACCTTCTATTTTTCACCCCAGCCTGAAGGCGGGGATGATAACCACAGACGTATAGTTGGCCTCTTAGGGCTGACGAAACAAGTGTGATGTTTGACAGTAATAGCAGTTACATAATTCACTTCCTACTTAAGTTTTTAATAGTACTTGGGCACACACACATGAGTAATGGAGGAAAGAAAAAATTGGGTGAGCCTAATTTCTCATAGCAATCTCCACACAGCTGGATGTTTCTCAAATATTTTAAAGTGTTTTGATCAGTTAAAAAGATTTAAAGCATTATTTTCTCAGAAATTCTGACAAAATGTTTCTACGAAATTAACTAGTTGTTCTAAATTACATATTATTTCATTAATTGCCAATACAGGTTATATTTTTAAAGCAAAATCACATTAACAATCCTTTCATGTAAGAATCTTCCATTTCCAAAATTCTTTGGTAATGTAACTTGCAAAATAATCTGTATCCTCTCAGCTTTCAAACTTCTGTCTATTGGGCTGTTCATCCAAATAAGTGTAAATTAATTAGATCCATAATTCCACATTAATTTTGCAATTACAATGAAAAATATTACAATACCACCTTTTGTGTAGTAATTTAAGCTTCAGGTGTGAGTTTATTGTTCCTCAAAATGGGCCAGGAGAGGAAAATAAAGGAGCTAGGACCAGGCACACAATTTTCCTGCCTTGGAGGGCACAGGTGCTGGAGAAAGTGGCCCAGGAGCAGAGGGTGACTGTTGAGGGCCACAGGTGAGCAGATGAGACGGGCATCCAAGGGAGTAGCCAGCAGCATGTTGATTCCGGCCAGAGAGTACCAGGGAGATTCAGCTGGATGGAGCAGCGTCCACAGGGTGGTCTCTACAGTTGGAATCCACACAGGTCCCAGTACCTGGGCCTGGGAACCAGGACTCTGAGCTGTCGAGAGGTGAACTTGACGACGGCACGAAGAGCATGGGCCACGCCCGAGTCCGTGAGGTCAGGACCCTGTGGAGGAGGCTGGGAAGGGTGGCAGGGGTTTCCCCAGGAACCAGTGCGGAAGGCAAGTGTGGACATCCCCAGGACAGGACCCTCAGTGGTCAGGGGGCTGAGTCTCGTTCCTACCACAGCCCTCCTCAGCGTGTGCAATGCCTAGGAGGGGGTGGCCATGTCTTTGTGGGTGCTCAGCAGGTGCCTGGTGCGCAGATGACAGAACGTGGAGTGGAGCAGAGTCAGAAAGGGGCCTGAGGGAGGTGCGCGTGGCCTTGGCACATGGAGTCACGCACCAGGGCAGGAGACCGCATCAGCACCCTTAGAGCCGCGGGCAGCCAGCACTCCTGGAGTGCCACTGGGTCCACAATGATATCCTGGGCGTCCACTTAGTGCTAAGCCCCACGGAACCCAGGATCAGGCTAACAGGTACTGAGTCTTCCAGGGTACTTTTTCCCAATCACAAAATGGTTCAGGGTCTGAATCAAGTAGAACCCGATGGCAGGAGGTGCAGAAGTGCACCTGAGAACGTGGGTGGAGGCTCATCTGTTGCGTCTAATATGATCTGTGTAACATAAATGAAAAGCATAGTCAATTTTTCAAATCGACAATCCAATATTTAGGGACTTGCAGGGTGAATGAATTTAAATCCACATTCAAAATAAGATAATTAGTCTCTCTTACTTGATGAATGATACTATCGTCAAGTGATATCTTTCTGTCACGAGTTTCGGACCAATAGCCCAAAATGAAAATTATCCAATAAAACGTGAAAATTCAGCATTCTGCTACACAAAGTTATTTGAGATGGGACCATAAATCTTTTGCTAAAAGATGCCAAGCCCGAGGCTCAACTTTGCTGCAGAGAACGCGCTCATTCAGTGTTCACCATGTCTTCTCAGCCAGCACTGCTCCGCCCGCAAACAGCATCAGAGTCAAAAATGTGGAGACCAGCCCAGAAGGTCAGGCACATTCCAGGTATCAACCTACTTCCAGTGGCTGATGAGCCCTGGCCCTTAAACCGCCAACCCTCCAAATCCCAGGGTTTCCATCCTGCACCCCCAAGCCTCACCTGGCAGAACACCACAGGACCCCCTGTGTACCAGGATGGACAGCCTGGCTTCTAGCCCTCCTGCCGGCATCCTCAGGGGCTCAGACCAAGGCCACGTGACCACTCTTGTAAGCACCTGGGCTGAGCAGATCTTCCCACGGGCCTCATCACAACCCGTGGTGGGAACACAGGCCCAGACCTCAGCACCTCAGGGGTAGGCGGCGAGACCACACGTCCACACCAGGCCCAGACCTCAGCGCCTCGGGGGCGGGCGGCGAGACCACACGTCCACACCAGGCCCAGACCTCAGCGCCTCGGGGGCAGGCGGCGAGACCACACATCCACACCACACCCAACACTCAGCCTGCCAGGCTGGCCTGGGCGCCATGTGGCTGATGGGCACCCACAGTGAGCACGGTGATATGCTCCTCTCTTGCCTGGAAGGCTTTAGACGCTGCTCCTCCTCAGCGTCACACCAAGCCTGCTCAGAGGTGCTGAGAAATCCGGGGAGTCCCTGCAGGGAGGACACGCTTCTGACCCCTTGCTGGTCAGAAATGAAAATTAACCAATGAAATGTGAAAATTCGGCATTTTGTCATACGTGTGTTTACATATGTATATAAACACATGTGAAGATGAAGGGAAAGCAGGGTTGCTATGATAGCAAACAGATGAATAAAAATAAAACACACCATGTTCTCCATATTTTCATATTTTTCAATTATGAGACTTTACATTCACTTCTGAAACTTTTTAAGACAAAATTTAAAATGGAAAATATCAATCCACTGTGAGTTAATTGCATGCGTTTTTGGCTTCTCCGGCACGTCAGCGGCATAATGTTCACCTCGCAGGAGGAGCTCGGCCTCAGAAGCTTCCTTCCTCTGGCTTCTCTCCTGGGGCGCGTGGGCTGGATCCCCCGTAAGGAGGCACTAAGGTCAGCAGGGCCCTGCGGCCAGGAGGTCTAGGTCCACGGTGAGATCAAGGCTGCGCTGTGTCCTTCTGAGGGGTACGTGTCCAGCGTCCCTGTCCATCTGAGCAAAGGGCGCTTGTGCCGTTGGTGGAATCCGTGACTGAAGGCCAAAGCACCTGCACCTGTGAAAACATCAGAACATGGACTTTTCCACGGCACTGACCATGGCACGAAACTAACTGTGTAGGGAGACAGTTAGAAACGACAAAGATGGTGCAGTGTGTGCTCAAGGTGGGGTTCAGCAAAGCATCTCAGCTTGCAGAGCAGCACCAGCTCAGAGCAGGGGCTCTGTGTGCCTTGTGGATATGAATGGATGGATGGACGGACGGATGGATAGATGGACAGACGAATGGAGAAGAGCTCCGCAGTTGAGGAAATGCGTGAGATGAGATGCAGCGTGGCCATGGGTTTCCCCACATTTTACTTCTACTCTGGGCTCTCCTGGACATCTTCCTTCACATAGAGGGTGTAAACTCGTTAACGCCGTCTCTGCTCCCTGTGTTTAGGACCTGGATGGTCTTTGCATGGCAACAAACCCTTTCCCTCTAAGCCAGGCCCACCCCAACAGCCCCCATCATCCAGCAGGACCCCCATCAGCCACCAGCCGCAGACGCCAGCCCCTCCTGTTCCCACATCCCCTGTTTGCCCTCCTGGCCTTGGGAGTTGGATCCAGCCCCAAATCCTTCATGGGACCCTTCAGGCCCTGCCACGGACAATTATAAAGGCCTCACCCGGCTGGCGTCTAGGAGCAGCCTCGGGAGAGCTGCGCTTTGGACTCCGGCCCCTGCTGGCCACACTCTTTCCACATCTGCATGCCTGCCCCCACACCTCCACTGGGGACCCCTTCTTAGGGGCTCAGTTGAGGGGCTTTTCTCCGTCCAAGCCAGTGCCTTTCCACTTCCTTCCCCAGCTCCAGGTCCGTGAGGGGCAGGAACCCATTGCTCAGGCTTCTTGGCAGTGAAAGGACTTCGTCTGTGCCATGTGCCCAGACCCTCAGCCAGTGTGGGTCTGTGGAGAAGAAGAGACATCAGGGCTGCTGCCCTTCTTGTTCACCACATGCCTACACCATCACAGAGAGGCCGGATGTTGACTTCCGTGACTCATAACCAAAACTACACACTCACCACCCAGTGCTCCACAGGCCCCTGGCCTGAACTGCAGATCCCAATTTCAGTGGCCACCATGCCTGTCTCAGTTTCAGCAACTCTGCAAGCAAGGACCCCATTTCTGAGCCCTGGGTCCTGCACAGGCCACATCCCAGGGTGAGATGTGCACCCTCCATGCCTGGGCAGAGGCTCCTGGTCCAGCCCTGCCCTGCTCCATCTGTGGTCCCCGCAGGAGCAGGAGGCGGAGGGAAGGACAAAGAGGCCTGGACCCCTGCACTGATTACTCTGAACTCGTACTTATGGGACCTGACCCACAGCAGCTTGCTTTCTCTTTCTTTCTTTCTTTTCTTTCTTTCTTTCTTTCTTTCTTTCTTTCTTTCTTTCTTTCTTTCTTTCTTCTTTCTTTCTTCTTTCTTTCTTTCTTTCTTTTTTGTACTGGAGAAGGAAACTTTTTGTTTGCTTAATCTTTCGTTTGTTTGTTTGCCTGTTTTAGGAACCCTGAATTAACAGAATGAAGAATAAGATAATGGAGGAGTTGGCATCGAGTCTCCCCCTGCCCAGCACATAAGCCAGGCTTGAGCCCCACAGGTAGAGGCAGAGAAGCCAGAAGCCTGGGGAACTGTGACTCTGAGAAACCAGTGCACTTGGCACTAGGAATACATCACGATCAAAATGAAAGGTAAAAATTAACAAATATAGAAGATTCACGCTCTAACAGGACTGAGCCCTTCCATGATCTCACTTAATCCTCACAACCCTGGAGGTCATTGCTCTCTTCAACCCTGTGGAGATGAGACAAGACACAGAGAGAGGTGCGCTAAGTTCCCCAAAGCCACGTAACTTGCTGCAGCACAGTCAAGATTTGAGTCCAGGCTCTTAAACTTCACATCAGGAGCTCTCAGCCATCACTTTAAGCCACCTTATTTGCATCTAAGAAGCAAGGATCTTGAGTCTTCTGATTCGGAATTGGGCGTGATCTTTACTGTGCTGCTTGGGGGGTCCAGTGTATGGTGCTCATTTGAGGATCAGGACTTTCTGTCTTCCAGGATTTCATCACCTGCCCATCTAATTACTCACAGACTGGTGGCTTGGAAGACAGTGGAAGAAGTATGCATGGCAGGGCAAGGTCAGGGCAGCCGCCAATGCCAACAAAGAGGAGAAGGAGGAAGAGCCAGAAATGTGGCCTCCTGACCATCTCAGCCATGAGAAACATAGCCCTGAAGACCAAAGCCAGGAGCACGGCTGTGAAGATCCACAGCTCGGAATACCATGACCATGAACATCACAACCACGATCACCACAGCCATGATCACCACAGCCATGAACACCACAACTACGATCTCCACAACCATGATCACCACATCCCTAAATACCATGACCATGAACACCACAGTCCCAAAGACCACAGCCCAGAATACCACGACCATGAACATCACAGCCAAACCCAAAGACCACAGCCATGAACACCACAGCCCTGAAGCCTGCTGCAGTGAAGACCCCCATTTTGGAAGTCCCAGTGGTGCCTGGAGGGGTGTGGATGGAGCCCTGCTGCCCACAGAAAGAGGCCTGGCACTGTGCTCCATGCTAATGTCCATGTAACTGCTCTTCGGCACCATGTCATGCTGTTCTTCATATCACCTGGGCAATAAAGAATATCCCAGAAGTTCTCCCTAATAGATCAAAGCCAGGTTGGATGAGGTCTTTCTCTTGGGATTAGTACATTTTATCGGGTGGATGAAAACAGATTCCTAAATCACCTGCGTTCAAGAAATGGCCTCACCCCTGAAGCCCCAGAGGCTGAAGCGCCACCTTTGTGGGTGACGTGCCTCCTCAGTCGCCACCTTTTGTCTCATTCTGCATGATCCTGGGGTTTGGCCTGAAATTAGAGAAGGAGTGAGCTGATTGGTAAAAGGCAGAATGTGGGAAATTTGCATGAGCTTGTTTCAGAAATTTGCAGTCAGCACAAAAGAATCCCTCTCAGTCCACGGCAAAGGTTCAAAGAAGCATTGAGAAAGAGGCGCAGTGCTCATGGAGGTGTGAGGGTCCGGTTTCCTCAGAGCCGTATCTGAAGCCAGGAGAGGAAGGTGGAAAGGAGCTGCAGAGATGCGGATAGGAGATGGGGCTCTGACACCACCCAGGGAAGCCAGCCAGCTGCACCCAACACGCATCTGTGGAGGCAGGGCCAGCCCTAAAGCGGGTCATCTGGGCCAGGCCAGGGCTCAGAGGGCTTGGCGTGCATTGGGCCAGTGAGGGCGGCTGCCGCGTGTGCCCACACACACATGGTCTTCTAGGAGCTGTCCCCTCTGGTGCTCTGTGAGACTCATCTGCCCTATTCATGCCACTCCCCTCACACTCTGGCTGCTGCTGGAGCCTCACCTGCAACTGGGAAGGATGCAGTGGGCATCCATGACCTTTGCCAAGGCAAAGCCGGCTTTGGGAGCCCCTCAACCTCACGCTCCACACTGCAGAGCCGCAGAGGTTGGCACCCCGGGCCTATGTGCTGCCAGAGTGCCCAGGATGGATGGACGCCCATTCTCAGCTCTGATGGCCTCCTGACACCCCAAGCCCAGGAGCAGAGCCCAACTGTTTAATTTCTGTGATTTTATCTCACTGAAAATCACCATAATGCATCCTCATATAATGAGAACAGCAGATAGTATTAATCAAATAACAATCATGGCTGATATTTGGTAACCACAGGCTCTGCATCATCTGTGAGAGCTTTCACAGCACCTTTCTGAAGTGAGTGTTTTTCTCTCAGCAGAGGAGAAACATGAAGATTAGAGTTTTAAGTCTGTTGCCCATGGTCACACAGATAATTTATATGAAAGACAAGATTCAAATCCAAGTTCTGCCTGAGTTCGAAGCCTATGCTTTCAGGTTCCACACTGAATTCCCTCTACACACTTCTCCACCAAACACACCCAGGAGAAGCATAACAGACGAGATCTTTAGAGGTGTCCACAGCATCGGGGGATACAGACAGTGATATCATTTTGCATGTTCTGTATATACCAATATATCTAATGCCAGTCAATATACCCTGAACAAGGGAATTTCAAAATGCACATTAGGGGTGTGTGGTGGTGGTTATTGGAAACAGAATTTTCTTTCATATGTATTTCTAGAAAAGCAACTTTTTTAGCCTTGAAAATCAGAAGTGTTGCAGCCGCATGAGCTGACACAGTTGTTTTCTCATTTCCAGAGCCTGGGTCCACGCGATGCTGATGCTGTGGCTGGGGCTTGAGAACAGGAGTCTCGCTGTGGTCCCGGCGGGCTCTTACTTAAAGGAAATATATGTGCACCAAAGAACATGCTATGCTTTTATTCTTTCATAAAGGTACCACCAAAATAGCCCAAAGCATGAGAATTTAGAACCCTATCTGCTCCACATGGCTGTTCAGGAAAGCTTAAAAGTGGTATGTGTCTGTTTGGAAACCCCATTTCTTCATTTGAATGGGAAGAACTGGCTATCACAATCACTAATTTCCTCTCATTCCTTTGTGTGACCCACACAAAAGATAGGAAGTCACTTTTACAGCTGATACTAAGGCGCTGGCCAGTTCCCAGAGGACTTACAACTTCCTATTGTTTGTCGCTGAAGCACATTAGGAAACGTGGCATCATTGGTGTTAATATGAATTGTGGTTGTTTTCTCAAACACGCAGGGTCACCTGCCTTCTGCCAATGCCCTGGGAAGCCAAGCTAGACCCCCTTTCCAAATCTGTTTGCTTGCCCACAGGCAAAGATGGGTGTTTGCAGCCACACAATGTGAAATGACCACCCTGTAGAAAAGAAGGCGTGTCCACTAGCCCAGAGAGGCTCTCACTCACCTCCCCGCAGGCCTGGAGGACTCACCTGGAGAGGCCCCTCTCCTCGGCCGGGCGGCCTGTTCTCCTCAGATCAGTGCCCACCATGATCGCTCCGCACACTCCGGGACCCCGGCCTATGGTGAAGACAACCTCCAGGGAGACCTTTCATCCAAGCGTGACTGTCCCGGTCATCATCAACCCAGGGAAGGGGAGAAAGCGGGTTTCCTGCGTATGCCTGTTTTAACACTTTGGTTTTTCATCTTCCTCCTGCTTCTAAACATAGCTGATGTCTCCTGGGCACTCCTTTTTCATAGAGGGAGGCTTTCATATGGCTGCCCTTCCTGAAGCTCATCACATTCCTGCAGATGGGGGTCCCAGGACATGCCCCCTCCCACTTATCCTTCAGAATGCACAACGCTGAGGACAGGATTGCAGGGCCAGAGGGTGTGTGGGGGCACCTGTGTGCACAACCCTGAGGACAGGACTGCAGGGCCAGAGGTTGCGTGCGGGGGCACCTGTGTGCACAACACTGAGGACAGGATTGCAGGGCCAGAGGGTGCGTGCGGGGGCACCTGTGTGCACAACCCTGAGGACGGGACTGCAGGGCCAGAGGGTGCGTACGGGGCACTTGTGTGCACAACCCTGAGGATAGGACTGCAGGGCCAGAGGGTGTGTGGGGGCACCTGTGTGCACAACCCTGAGGATGGGACTGCAGGGCCAGAGGGTGTGTGGGGGACCTGTGTGCAGGTGTTTGCTGCAGGTGGGGAGCTGGGGCCGCTGGAGGATGAGGCGATGGTGCTCAGAAGCTTCTTTTCAGTGCATTGAAAACAGGCAGTTGGAAGGTGACACTACCTTCCTGAGCTGTGCGGATCTTTATCATTTACTTGGTATTACATATTCCAGCTCACCCTGAACAAACCAATGAACAACAGATAAATATGTCCACTTAGTATCCTACTGTTGAGTCCAAGGAACTTTTACAAAGAGAATTCCTCAAGTTCTAATTCATAGATGAGTAGGGAGTCATACAATACCATGTTTTAGCTGCTTCTGCTAAAAGTAAGTCTCTGAAAACCTGTTTCCTTAGAAATTCCCATCGAGGGAGGCTCTGAGAACACTTCCCACCCAACTCCGTGGGCGTCCATGGGGACTGTTTGAACCGGAGGCATCTGAACCCAGGAGGGCAGCTCCGGGGCTGGACGTGGGTCCTCCAGGAGCATTGCCTTCCTCCTGGGACACACCACGATGGAGGCTCGAACATCAGGAGAAATTCTGCGAGAATGGCAAATCCCGGAAGGTGTGCCCTTTTGTGTCAGAGGAGGATCAGTTGTTTCTGAGTAGCCCCTGCCTGGTTTGGGGTGGCCTGAATGCACCCTGGGGAGAGGGATTATAATACCAACTTTTGTCCACTTGAGGAATATTGATTGAACTCCAACAAAGTGCCTGGCACAAGACCAGCAGCCGAGGAGAAGGCTCTGAGCACAGCAGGAAAAAGTCCCTGCTTGCTGGGAGCTCGTGTGCTGGTGAAGCAAGACGGGCGGACACGCAGGAAATGTGCACCCTGTTAGATCACGACCGTGAGTAGATGAGGACAGGCAGGCCAGGGAAGAGGAAGCAGCAGAATCGGCCTTGGGCGAGGTCGGAAATTTCACAAAGGTGCCGAGGAAGGCGGCGGCTACTTGGACTAAGTTTGTCGGGGACTTTCCTGGGTTGCGCACTGAAAGTCCCAGTCCCAGGAACCCCCTCAGTCCCAAGAGACCCGTCAGTCCCAGGAAACCCCTCAGTCCCGGGAACCCCTCAGTCCCGGGAACCCCTCAGTCCCGGGAGCCCCTCAGTCCCGGGAAACCTCTCAGTCCCGGGAAACCCCTCAGTCAGGAAAACCCTCAGTCCCAGGAGCCCCTCAGTCCCAGGAACCCCCTCAGTCCCGGGAAACCCCTCAGTCCCGGGAGCCCCTCAGTCCCGGGAACCCCTCAGTCCCAGGAAACCCCTCAGTCCCGGGAAACCTCTCAGTCCCGGGAAACGCCTCAGTCAGGAAACCCCTCAGTCCCGGGAACCCCTCAGTCCCGGGAAACCCCTCAGTCAGGAAACCCCTCAGTCCCGGGAGCCCCTCAGTCCCAGGAACCCCCTCAGTCCCGGGAACCCCTCAGTCCCAGGAACCCCTCAGTCCCGGGAAACCCCTCAGTCCCGGGAACCCCCTCAGTCCCAGGAACCCCTCAGTCCCGGGAAACCCCTCAGTCCCGGGAAACCCCTCAGTCCCGGGAACCCCTCAGTCCCGGGAACCCCCTCAGTCCCGGGAAACCTCTCAGTCCCGGGAAACCCCTCAGTCAGGAAACCCCTCAGTCCCGGGAGCCCCTCAGTCCCAGGAACCCCCTCAGTCCCGGGAACCCCTCAGTCCCAGGAACCCCCTCAGTCCCGGGAACCCCTCAGTCCCGGGAACCCCTCAGTCCCGGAAACCCCTCAGTCCCGGGAGCCCCTCAATCAGGAAACCCCTCAGTCCCGGGAAACCCCTCAGTCCCGGGGACCCCTCAGTCCTGGGAAACCCCTCAGTCCCGGGAACCCCTCAGTCCCGGGAACCCCCTCAGTCCCGGGAACCCCTCAGTCCCGGGAACCCCCTCAGTCCCAGGAGCCCCCTCAGTCCCGGGAACCCCTCAGTCCCGGGAAACCCCTCAGTCCCGGGAACCCCCTCAGTCCCGGGAAACCCCTCAGTCCCGGGAACCCCCTCAGTCCCGGGAACCCCTCAGTCCCGGGAACCCCCTCAGTCCCGGGAAACCCCTCAGTCAGGAAACCCCTCAGTCCCGGGAGCCCCTCAGTCCCGGGAAACCCCTCAGTCCCGGGAAACCCCTCAGTCCCAGGAACCCCCTCAGTCCCGGGAACCCCCTCAGTCCCGGGAAACCTCTCAGTCCCGGGAAACCCCTCAGTCAGGAAACCCCTCAGTCCCGGGAGCCCCTCAGTCCCGGGAAACCCCTCAGTCCCGGGAACCCCCTCAGTCCCGGGAAACCCCTCAGTCCCGGGAACCCCTCAGTCCCGGGAACCCCCTCAGTCCCGGGAACCCCTCAGTCCCGGAAACCCCTCAGTCCCGGGAGCCCCTCAATCCCGGGAAACCCCTCAGTCCCGGGAACCCCCTCAGTCCCGGGAAACCTCTCAGTCCCGGGAAACCTCTCAGTCCCGGGAACCCCCTCAGTCCCGGGAAACCCCTCAGTCAGGAAACCCCTCAGTCCCGGGAGCCCCTCAGTCCCAGGAACCCCCTCAGTCCCGGGAACCCCTCAGTCCCAGGAACCCCTCAGTCCCGGGAAACCCCTCAGTCCCGGGAACCCCCTCAGTCCCGGGAACCCCTCAGTCCCGGGAACCCCTCAGTCCCGGGAACCCCCTCAGTCCCGGGAACCCCTCAGTCCCGGGAACCCCCTCAGTCCCAGGAGCCCCCTCAGTCCCGGGAACCCCTCAGTCCCGGGAAACCCCTCAGTCCCGGGAACCCCCTCAGTCCCGGGAAACCCCTCAGTCCCGGGAACCCCTCAGTCCCGGGAACCCCCTCAGTCCCGGGAAACCCCTCAGTCAGGAAACCCCTCAGTCCCGGGAGCCCCTCAGTCCCGGGAAACCCCTCAGTCCCGGGAAACCCCTCAGTCCCAGGAACCCCCTCAGTCCCGGGAACCCCCTCAGTCCCGGGAAACCTCTCAGTCCCGGGAAACCCCTCAGTCAGGAAACCCCTCAGTCCCGGGAGCCCCTCAGTCCCGGGAAACCCCTCAGTCCCAGGAACCCCCTCAGTCCCGGGAACCCCCTCAGTCCCGGGAAACCCCTCAGTCCCGGGAACCCCCCAGTCCCGGGAACCCCTCAGTCCCGGGAAACCTCTCAGTCCTGGGAAACCCCTCAGTCAGGAAACCCTCAGTCCCGGGAGCCCCTCAGTCCCAGGAACCCCCTCAGTCCCGGGAACCCCTCAGTCCCGGGAACCCCTCAGTCCCGGAAACCCCTCAGTCCCGGGAGCCCCTCAGTCAGGAAACCCCTCAGTCCCGGGAAACCCCTCAGTCCCAGGAAACCCCTCAGTCCCGGGAACCCCTCAGTCCCGGGAACCCCCTCAGTCCCGGGAAACCCCTCAGTCCCGGGAAACCTCTCAGTCCCGGGAAACCCCTCAGTCAGGAAACCCCTCAGTCCCGGGAGCCCCTCAGTCCCAGGAACCCCCTCAGTCCCGGGAAACCCCTCAGTCCCGGGAACCCCTCAGTCCCGGGAACCCCTCAGTCCTGGAAACCCCTCAGTCCCGGGAGCCCCTCAGTCAGGAAACCCCTCAGTCCCGGGAGCCCCTCAGTCCCGGGAACCCCCTCAGTCCCGGGAACCCCTCAGTCCCAGGAACCCCTCAGTCCCGGGAAACCCCTCAGTCCCGGGAACCCCCTCAGTCCCAGGAACCCCTCAGTCCCGGGAAACCCCTCAGTCCCGGGAAACCCCTCAGTCCCGGGAACCCCTCAGTCCCGGGAACCCCCTCAGTCCCGGGAAACCTCTCAGTCCCGGGAAACCCCTCAGTCAGGAAACCCCTCAGTCCCGGGAGCCCCTCAGTCCCAGGAACCCCCTCAGTCCCGGGAACCCCTCAGTCCCAGGAACCCCCTCAGTCCCGGGAACCCCTCAGTCCCGGGAACCCCTCAGTCCCGGAAACCCCTCAGTCCCGGGAGCCCCTCAATCAGGAAACCCCTCAGTCCCGGGAAACCCCTCAGTCCCGGGGACCCCTCAGTCCTGGGAAACCCCTCAGTCCCGGGAACCCCTCAGTCCCGGGAACCCCCTCAGTCCCGGGAACCCCTCAGTCCCGGGAACCCCCTCAGTCCCAGGAGCCCCCTCAGTCCCGGGAACCCCTCAGTCCCGGGAAACCCCTCAGTCCCGGGAACCCCCTCAGTCCCGGGAAACCCCTCAGTCCCGGGAACCCCCTCAGTCCCGGGAACCCCTCAGTCCCGGGAACCCCCTCAGTCCCGGGAAACCCCTCAGTCAGGAAACCCCTCAGTCCCGGGAGCCCCTCAGTCCCGGGAAACCCCTCAGTCCCGGGAAACCCCTCAGTCCCAGGAACCCCCTCAGTCCCGGGAACCCCCTCAGTCCCGGGAAACCTCTCAGTCCCGGGAAACCCCTCAGTCAGGAAACCCCTCAGTCCCGGGAGCCCCTCAGTCCCGGGAAACCCCTCAGTCCCGGGAACCCCCTCAGTCCCGGGAAACCCCTCAGTCCCGGGAACCCCTCAGTCCCGGGAACCCCCTCAGTCCCGGGAACCCCTCAGTCCCGGAAACCCCTCAGTCCCGGGAGCCCCTCAATCCCGGGAAACCCCTCAGTCCCGGGAACCCCCTCAGTCCCGGGAAACCTCTCAGTCCCGGGAAACCTCTCAGTCCCGGGAACCCCCTCAGTCCCGGGAAACCCCTCAGTCAGGAAACCCCTCAGTCCCGGGAGCCCCTCAGTCCCAGGAACCCCCTCAGTCCCGGGAACCCCTCAGTCCCAGGAACCCCTCAGTCCCGGGAAACCCCTCAGTCCCGGGAACCCCCTCAGTCCCGGGAACCCCTCAGTCCCGGGAACCCCTCAGTCCCGGGAACCCCCTCAGTCCCGGGAACCCCTCAGTCCCGGGAACCCCCTCAGTCCCAGGAGCCCCCTCAGTCCCGGGAACCCCTCAGTCCCGGGAAACCCCTCAGTCCCGGGAACCCCCTCAGTCCCGGGAAACCCCTCAGTCCCGGGAACCCCTCAGTCCCGGGAACCCCCTCAGTCCCGGGAAACCCCTCAGTCAGGAAACCCCTCAGTCCCGGGAGCCCCTCAGTCCCGGGAAACCCCTCAGTCCCGGGAAACCCCTCAGTCCCAGGAACCCCCTCAGTCCCGGGAACCCCCTCAGTCCCGGGAAACCTCTCAGTCCCGGGAAACCCCTCAGTCAGGAAACCCCTCAGTCCCGGGAGCCCCTCAGTCCCGGGAAACCCCTCAGTCCCAGGAACCCCCTCAGTCCCGGGAACCCCCTCAGTCCCGGGAAACCCCTCAGTCCCGGGAACCCCCCAGTCCCGGGAACCCCTCAGTCCCGGGAAACCTCTCAGTCCTGGGAAACCCCTCAGTCAGGAAACCCTCAGTCCCGGGAGCCCCTCAGTCCCAGGAACCCCCTCAGTCCCGGGAACCCCTCAGTCCCGGGAACCCCTCAGTCCCGGAAACCCCTCAGTCCCGGGAGCCCCTCAGTCAGGAAACCCCTCAGTCCCGGGAAACCCCTCAGTCCCAGGAAACCCCTCAGTCCCGGGAACCCCTCAGTCCCGGGAACCCCCTCAGTCCCGGGAAACCCCTCAGTCCCGGGAAACCTCTCAGTCCCGGGAAACCCCTCAGTCAGGAAACCCCTCAGTCCCGGGAGCCCCTCAGTCCCAGGAACCCCCTCAGTCCCGGGAAACCCCTCAGTCCCGGGAACCCCTCAGTCCCGGGAACCCCTCAGTCCTGGAAACCCCTCAGTCCCGGGAGCCCCTCAGTCAGGAAACCCCTCAGTCCCGGGAGCCCCTCAGTCCCGGGAAACCCCTCAGTCCCGGGAAACCCCTCAGTCTCAGGAACCCCCCTCAGTCCCGGGAAACCCCTCAGTCCCGGGAAACCCCTCAGTCCCAGGAACCCCCTCAGTCCCGGGAACCCCTCAGTCCTGGGAACCCCTCAGTCCCGGGAGCCCCTCAGTCCCGGGAAACCCCTCAGTCCCGGGAGCCCCTCAGTCAGGAAACCCCTCAGTCCCGGGAAACCCCTCAGTCCCAGGAAACCCCTCAGTCCCGGGAACCCCTCAGTCCCGGGAACCCCCTCAGTCCCGGGAAACCCCTCAGTCCCGGGAAACCTCTCAGTCCCGGGAAACCCCTCAGTCAGGAAACCCCTCAGTCCCGGGAGCCCCTCAGTCCCAGGAACCCCCTCAGTCCCGGGAAACCCCTCAGTCCCAGGAACCCCTCAGTCCCGGGAACCCCTCAGTCCTGGAAACCCCTCAGTCCCGGGAGCCCCTCAGTCAGGAAACCCCTCAGTCCCGGGAGCCCCTCAGTCCCGGGAAACCCCTCAGTCCTGGGAAACCCCTCAGTCCCAGGAACCCCCCTCAGTCCCGGGAAACCCCTCAGTCCCGGGAAACCCCTCAGTCCCAGGAACCCCCTCAGTCCCGGGAACCCCTCAGTCCCGGGAACCCCCTCAGTCCCGGGAAACCCCTCAGTCCCGGGAAACCCCTCAGTCCCAGGAACCCCCTCAGTCCCGGGAACCCCCTCAGTCTCGGGAACCCCTCAGTCCCGGGAACCCCTCAGTCCCGGGAGCCCCTCAGTCAGGAAACCCCTCAGTCCCGGGAGCCCCTCAGTCCCGGGAAACCCCTCAGTCCCGGGAACCCCTCAGTCCTGGGAACCCCCTCAGTCCCGGGAAACCCCTCAGTCCCGGGAACCCCTCAGTCCCGGGAACCCTTCAGTCCCGGGAACCCCTCAGTCCCGGGAAACCCCTCGGTCCCGGGAACCCCCTCGGTCCCGGGAACCCCCTCAGTCCCGGGAACCCCCTCAGTCCCAGGAAACCCCTCAGTCCCAGGCAAATGGTGGAGAGCAGGGCAGGTGTGTTTTGGGTGCCGCCGTGGGGGATGGGGCACCTGCCGTGAGGATGCCCTGGAAGAGCGTTCTGAGCAGCACTGCACAAAGGAGCCCAGAGCGGCATGCTGTTTACTCCCTCACTGACGCCATAAAACTTATCTTCCTGCGGCCGGGCACGGTGGCTCACGCCTGTAATCCCAGCACTTTGGGAGGCCGAGGCGGGTGGATCACATGGTCAGGAGATCGAGACCATCCTGGCTAACACGGTGAAACCCCGTCTCTACTAAAAGTACAAAAAATTAGCTGGGCATGGTGGCGGGCGCCTGTAGTCCCAGCTGCTTGGGATGCTGAGGCAGGAGAATCGCTTGAACCCGGGAGGTGAAGGTTGCAGTGAGCCGAGATCGTGCCACTGCACTCCAGCCTGGGCAACAAGAGCAAGACTCCATCTCAAAACAAAACAAAACAAAAAAACAAAAAAAGAAGAAGATGAAAAACCTAAGTAAGGTAAGAGGTCAAGAGAATTCCCCAGGAAAATAGGAAAATATTAAATGTGTTGAATTTTAAAGTAGTTTGTGCCTCAGCGTTGGTTCCTGCGACTGTGCCCATCAAGCTCAAACCATCTCCACTTTTCTCTTTGAAACACCAGCACGACGCACTTCAGCAGCCGTGGTGAGACCCGAGGCTGGGCGGGGAGGTGGTGCTGCCTCTGGTCACATTGCAGAGAGAAGTAAGGGGCTCAGCAGGAAGGCTGGGGCACTGGCCAGCACCTGCCTTCTTCAGAGGACGTTCTGGGTTCATCCCGAGGATGACTGTCTCTCCTGGCTTTCACACTGCTACAAATGGCACCTGCAATTCAACTTCCTGAAATGTAGATGGTGGTGTTTGGTGACTCTCCCAAAGTTTTTTAAACGATCCATTAGAAAACTCACAAGATGAAGCGAAAGCAGCCGGGAGCCCACGACCGGTGTCCATGCCACTCAGTGCTCTGAGTCTGCACTTGGTAGCCCCAAGGACAAGGCCAATGGGAGACGCTCCTGCCCCGGACACAGCTGGCACGGGAGGCTGGAACCACGAGGGTGTCTTCCTCCCTCCTCCCTCGCTCCCACATGCAGGGGACAGCTGGGCATCAGGGGCAGGAAGCCAGACCCCACTGACACGCGTGGCCTGTGAGCACCAGCACCCAGCCATGCCAACTCAGGCTTCCATGTGACCACTGCCTGAGGGTCCCATGCAGCGCCCACCCAGCCTCCTACTGCACCATCCCTGGGAGCCTCCGGGGTGGCCTCTGTCCTCGTGGCGTGTTCCATAGCATGTGGCCCAGCTGGGGCCATGCATGTCTGAAATGCGTAACCAGAAGGTAGTCACCGCCTGATCACACAGCTTCCAGGGGCTGCGTCCATGGCACTAAACCACCCATTAGAAGGTTGAAGAAGCCGCTCGCCAGTCCCCCTTCAATCCAGGCATCCGGCCTGCAGCAGCACCTCAGGGCACTTTGAAGTGGAAGTTTCAAAGGTGACAGAACTTGTATACAGAACAATTAAAGAACTTTCAAAACTCAATATCACAAAAGCAAACAGCCCAGGTTTTAAAAAAAATGGGCAAAATATTTCAACATTTCACCCAAAAAGACATACAGATAGCAAGCACTCACATGACTGGTTATTTTTAAATTGCAAATTAACACCATCCGAGATATAGCTGCACACCTTTGAAATGGTCTATACTAAGACAGATCCTACCCAGTGTTAATGAAGTTTTAGAAGAACCAGAACTTTTATATGTCACTAATGGGAAAGTAAAATAAAAAATGAGGTCTTGTCTGTCCCCCAGACTGGAGTGCAGTGGCACAATTTCAGCTTATTGCAACTTCCACCTCCCAGACTCAAGCGATCCTCCCACCTCAGCTTCCCAAGTAGCTGGGACCACAGGCATACGCCACCACACCTGGCTTATTTTATTTTATTTTATTTTATTTTATTTTATTTTATTTTATTTTATTTTATTTTTTAGAGAGATGAGATTTCACCATGTTGCCCAGAATGGTCTCCAACTCCTGAGCTCAAGCAGTCCACCCGTCTTGGCCTCTCAGAGTTCTGGGATTACAGGCGTGAGCCACCGCATCTGGCTTGCAATCTCTTAAGAAGTTAAACATGTGAGCTATCGTATGATCCAACTTCTCAGTGCCTAGATATTTACCCAATAGAAATGCAAGCACGTGCCCATACAAACACTGTGTGCAGATGTTCATTTTAGTTATATTTGTAATAGCCAAAATCCAGAAACAACCTAAATATCCATGAACTGATGAATGATAACCCAGCACGTGTGCTCAGTAGAGCTCTGCCCTGCGGTGAAAGGAACGAGCCACTGCCGCATGCTGCCGAGTGAGAGGCCACAAAGTCACTGTGCTGAGTTAGAAGCCAGGCCCACAGAAAAGCACTAACTTTCCAATTCCATTCACAGATGAGAGACACGGACGGATGCACAGTTAGAGCAGGGGTTTTCTGGGGACAAAAGTGGAAGGAGGGCCAGGAAGGAACAGAGAAAAGTTTTAGAGGGAAGGAGGATTCACCCTCTTCACGGCAGGGATGGCTTCACAGTTAGACACACGTGTCCACACTTATTACCAAATAACACATGTTAAATATGTGTAGCTTATTGAACGTGACTATACCTCAATAACGCTGTTTTTAAAAGTAGCTTAAATGGTAGGAAAAAATACCTTCACACATTAAAGATGAGGCAACATACTGCTCACAAATCCAGAGAGAGCCATTGTGTCCATGAGGCGTGATGGAGTCCACGCCGTATGCATTGGCCGCCCCAGGCCGCAGCTGTCCACAGCCCACCCCCAGGTCAGGTGCCATAAGGACAGAGCATGGTAGGACAGCAGTTCACTGCCTCGCACAGAGACATTAGGATGAATGTTGGCTCCCCCAGCACCTGGTCAACACTGACTGGTATCTTATTATTTTTTCCACGCCAAATGCTCGATCTGCATCTCCGGTGGTAGTAACACCTACTAAGGCCTTCGATAATTTATGAGAGAAACCATGTTGTTCTCTTTGGTTTCCTTCTCTGTGAAAAAGAACAAGGTTCAAATGACTAATCTGCATGGAACACAAAATAATGATAACAATCCTAATTAACAATTTATATTAATAGAACCTTTTTTCTCGGTAGCTGAACACATGGAAAATGCCGACTTCTTTTGCAGAGAAGGGCAGAGTTGGTGGTGGAGAGAAAGGAGGAGGGGGAGGTGCCCCTGCAGCAGGAGGAAGGGGCTCTGTGCTGGAGCTGCAGAGAGGGAGGCAGTGCAGCCACGACAGACCCACCCACCCGCCGGTTCGTCCAGGGGTAGGAGGCTTTTTGACATCACAGAAACAAGACAACAGGTAGATCAGGATGGTGGCCCATTTTTTCAGAAGTCCAGTGGCCTTGTGGAAGCATGGCCTAAGCCCCCAGGGTCAACTTTAAAGTAATAGTGATTTTCATCTGTTACCCAGCGTGGGGCTGTGTGGACACAATACAATGAAGGGGACGGTCACCTCTGCCCATCCGCCCCTCAATGCAATGAGGGGGACGGTCACCACTGCCCATCTGCCCCCGACACAATGAGGGTGATGGCCACCTCTGCCCATCTGCCCCTCGACGCAATGAAGGGGACGGCCACCTCTGCCCATCCGCCCCTCGATGCAATGAGGGGGAAGGTCACCACTGCCCATTCGCCATCCGATGCAAGGAAGGGGACTGCCACCATTGCCCTTCCACCCCCCAACACAAGGCCCCACAGGTGAGGCAAAAGTGGCTCTCGGCACATCCTGCCTTAGAAAACAAAGCAATCGCACCTCCACGGCCCACAGGCCGAGAGCACCTCATGGATGTGCAGAGCCAGCCCTGGAACTGTGGTGGCTGAGCTGCCCTTTCCCTGGAGCGGGGAGGGCAGGGGCGTGAGTGTTTCATTCTCTAGTTGGTGCTGCCATGTGCCCCATTGGTAGAATGACAAGCTGCAAGTCTTGACGTTTTAGCAATTAGAAGAAAGAGCCACCTGTTTAGGGCCTGACCCAGGGGTGTTTGGAAAATGCAGCCAGCGCCGTAACTAGCTGTCTCCACACAGATGTCACCCCATGAGAACCACGTCATCCCTGCACCCGGCTTCTCCAAGAGCCTTTGGCAAGAGCCATTGGCATGAGGTTGGGTGGTGTAGACCACATCGTGTCTCGGGGGGCCTGTTAGCTGTTCCAAAGGACATCCCAGGACACTGTCCTATAGACCTTCCCGAGAGATGTCTCCTTTCTCCCTCAGCTCCTGGCACATCTGCAGACCACCCATGGGCTCTCCTCCACGAGACCTGCCCGCCGGGCACCCACCATCCCCCAGCTGTCCCTGGGCACTCCCCACAGCCACCCTGGGGCATGGGCTTTGTCTGCCCTGTCACCAGATGTTGGCAGGCATGGGCTGGACCACCAGCCCCTCCGGCAGACGGCTGGATGCCGGGACTTCCGACGTGGAGGCTGCGAGGCTGCGGCTGGCCAGGTGGTGGCACTGCTGCCCTGAGGCATCTGTGCCCACTTCCACACAGGCTCCTCGAAGGAGCCCACCAGGCAGCCCCGCGTCCCTGGACGTCACCCTCCTGCCCTCACCACTCCACCTGTGGTGTGCGGCACCCACTGTCGTCCTCAGGGCCTGGACATCAACCTGCACTTGTGGTGTGTGGCACCCACTGTCATCCTCAGGTCCTGGACATCACCCTCCTGCCTTCACCATTCCACCTGTGGTGTGCGGCACCCACTGTCATCCTCAGGGCCTGGATGTCACCCTCCTGCCCTCACCATTCCACCTGTGGTGTGTGGCACCCACTGTCGTCCTCAGGGCCTGGATGTCACCCTCCTGCCCTCACCGTTCCACCTGCGGTGTGTGGCACCCACTGTCGTCCTCAGGCCCTGAACGTGAGCCTCCAGCCATTCCCCATGGGGCTTCCCAGCTGCAAAATGCACCGTGCTGCTGAGGACAGCCAGGGAGGCTCCTCTCGCCACTTGGCCTCTCCCCACTGCAAGACAAAACCAGTGCCTACAATCGTTTCAGAGTCTCGGGGAAACTTTGTGATTTAAGACCTTGTCAATGCAACTTATCTTCCTAGTTCTTGTGGAAATGAAGTTTTCAAACATGTAATTGTGCCAGGCTACTGCCAGATTGCCAGGGAGTTCCGTTTTCTCCAGCTCTGAAAGCTGCATGTGACACTGCATGCCAGTCTCCCACCCGCTTTCTCACTGTGAGCGACGCCCTTCTCTCCCTCCTGCCCTCCAAGAATGCCCATCTTGCCCACACTAGCTTCAAGTGGCCTAAAGCGAGGCCCATCCATCCCACAGGACCGGGAGTCCCACAGCCTGCACTGCTGTGAATAATGCAGCTTCTCTCCCATGGCCAGTTGAGAAGGTCCCAGTCTCTCCAGGCCGCATGCACGAGGGCTTTGCTCCTCATGGTTTCCATCTGTCACATCACACGTCTAAGCAAGAAGTCATTGCCATGCAATCCGTCAGCGTTAGTTTTTTCAGCTAAAATAGACTGTGAGGCCCCTAAAGACAAGCCTGAGATGTCTCCTTCCTTCTGTCATCCATCCTACTAGGGAATTAGCACCACCAACAATGCGGGCAGAAAGAAATAGGACCTTGTCGTAGAACACGTCGCGGGTGACGAGAGAAGGGAACATATGTCAAGGTTCTAAAATACATTGAAGCCTCCTGTAACCTGGGCCTCGTGTGTAACCCGCGTGATGGCAGCCAGTGTCGAGAAGGTTCACAAACCCCTCCCATCTGTAGCACACACTAAACCCACCAGCCAAAGCAGGAATGATGCATGGCTGTGCGTGAAGCCCCGTGATTATAGCAAGCGGTACAAAGACCCTCAAACTCCAGAGCAGAATGGAGGTCCGGCACCCACCCCAGCAGACATGGATAAAGGCACAGGAAGGTGCAGAACGGAGGTCAGGCACCCACCCCAGCAGATACAGTCACAGGAAGGTGCAGAGCCCAGGTCAGGCACCCGCCCCTGCAGACATGGATAGAGTCAACTCCAGTCTGGGGATGGCTGCCTAGTAGAACGGGTGACCAGGTACAGGATCATGGCCACGAGCCACAGGACCTCCTTGTCCCTCCTCCAGTGAGAGAATGGCCCGAACTCACCTTCCCTCAACCCACCTCCCACTTTTGTTGGGTGGAGCAGGAAGAGGAGGGAGTCTGGGGATCCAGTGTTGAGGGCAGCAGAAAAGGGTCTGAAATATATGGACTTGTGAATATGAGACCAAAGAGCTTCAAAATCTATTTTTGATAAATTTTAAAACATTGCCTCAGGAAGTAAAAGACCAACATATGCACCTTAGAGAGTTACCCTCTATAGCTACCTTCATTTCTTCTTTTTTTAATTCACAAGGAACTGTGTAGATCCATTAAAAGTATTCAAACAGGCCAGGCATGATGGCTCACACCTGTAATCCCAGCACTTTGGGAGGCCAAGGCAGGCAGATCACTTGAGGTCAGTAGTTTGAGACCAGCCTAACCAATACAGCGAAACCCTGTCTTCACCAACAATACAAAAATCAGCTGGGCGTGGTGGTGCACGCCTGTCGTCCCAGCTACTCGGGAGGCTGAGCCAGGACAATCACTTGAACCCGGGAGGTGGCAGTTGCAGTGAGCCAAGATGTCACCACTGCACTCCAGCCTGGGCAACAGAGCGAGACTCTGTCTCAAAAAATTAATTAATTAATTAATTAATATTCAAACTAAAACCCACCATCATAAACTACTCCAATAAGAAAATAACAGGAGAATTCAAAACAGTTCTGTCATCTGCCTGCATTTGAACAGAGAAGAAGCTTGATTGTCATTGATTTCCTTATAGCTTTGTACCAGAAAGAGGTACAGGTACCACACATTAAAGTTCAAGTAAAGGAACGATTGTTGGCCTGTTTGTTTGTGGAGGTGTCACGTGAATTGTATTTTTAAAATGCCATTGCAGTCAAGTCTTTTTCTCTTTCTTTTTCTTTTTTTGAGATAGGGTCTCGCTCAGTCACCCAAGCTAAAGTGCAGTGGCAGGATCATAGCTCGCCACAACCTTGAACTTCTGGGCTCAAGTGATCCTCTGGCCTCAGCCTTCCAAGCAGCTGGGAGGAAGGATAGAAATGAAAGATGCTGTGCAGATGCTTCTACACTCAGAGCTACCCAAGCTATAGAGGCCGTGAGATGTGATTCTCTCCCCCTTGGAGAGCTCAGAGGGCGTAGGTCCCCTGCACAAGTTCTCAGGCCAGTGACCCAGGTCGGATCCTCACCCAGCCATTCTGCACATGAGTGTGATCATGTGCTTAGCGTCGGGACTGGACATGTTAAGGTGTGTGGATGGGAAGTAAAGCCTGAGGGAGACCTGCCACACGTGACAGGTGTGTAAAGCAGAAAAGAGAGGCAACATCCAGAATGTTCTGTGGGCTTCACAGGGTCAGGCTAAGAACCTCCGAGTCATTCTGCAGCTAATGAGGAATCACAGGCCAACTCAGAGCCGGAGCAGCTGTGACCAGCCCTGTTCTTCAAGACAGAGATGGCAGGCACATCAGGGGCGCCATGCAGGGAAAGGGACGGGACCCCAAGGTGGCCGGCAATCGGGGACAGTATGGCCCTGGGGGAGGGCCGGGTGGGAGGCGCCCGCCCCGCCTATGACCAGAGATTGAGAAAAATAATAACTGGGAAAAACACATACCCAACTTCTTTCTTTTCTTCTTATGTCTAGAATCTAGTCTGCAATAGCATTAGGATTTTATGTTAAGGTTCTCAACGAAAAGAAGTTAACTCCCCAGGATAATTTCACTAGGGAAGTCTGAGGATGCTGTTCTGTGTGCCGAGCAAACTCCTAACCTCAGCTAGGCTGGGCAAACTCCTAACCTCAGCTAGGCTGGGCAGATCCCAGCCTTGGTCAGCCTCTTCTTCAGTTCATCACCAGGCAGGCAGTAGACTGTTCAAAGTAAAGATATTATTTTCCCATAAGATTCCCATAAGATTTCTCAAAGTATAAGATATACAACTATCCCCGGATTTTTTGCTTTTTGGTCTAGGAAATCCAATTTTAAACATGAAGTCAGGATTATAAACAAATCCTTCTGATGCTTTCTTCTCTTTGTTACCCCTCTCCCCATTTCACTGCTTACTTAGATAGGAAGAAATGCAGAAGGAAAGATGACAAGAAAGAAACCGTCTGGAGTTCACTTCAAGAGACTCGGTGTCTTTATTTTTGAAAACGATCAGAATCCAGGGAAGAAGCTGTGAAGTTGCCTGAATATGAACTGCAGTTTTGGCCCAGGGCGACTTTTCAGAGGATAAATACCTGGGAGGTTTAATAAAATGAGTGACAATTGTCAAAGGCTAAATGTAGAGGGATCTGCATACCAACAACACAGACACAGGAAATTTCTTACGGATCCTGGACCGTCCTCCCGTGGGGTACCCCGCACTCAGGTCCTCCATCCCCCTAAACGTCCGCTCTCAGGGGACCTCCTCACACACTGGCCACTGCTTCTCTCCTGGACACAAAAGGCCACTGTCCCGATGCCAGGAGGGTTGGAGGTGTGAGCAGCCTCAGAGGTGGACACAGCTTCAGGGGCAACAGGACACTCAGGGAAGAAAGAAATACGTAAACTCTCGCACACTCTCTGCTAGAGGAGAGTGCGGAGGTGACGGGCTCCCATAGCAGGGTGTGGCCCCCAGCCCCGCTCAGCTGCCTCCGCCACCGGCGTTCACTGGCCCCCATTCTCACACCCCAGCGGGTCAGCCCAGAAGTGCTCAAATCCCAGCAGTCGCCACAGCAGCTAAGCAGCACTGTGCGCTCCTGAGAATGGCTGTCCTGGCAACAGGATGGAGGCTGAACGCTAGCATTGTAATCTTAGTTTATCAAAGCACTTCATTAAATTTCCCCCAAAATTCTAGAGTTTCAGCTGTAAATAAAATTAA